>NW_019805498.1:0-181167 GCF_000001405.40 Homo sapiens | reverse complement strand
GAATTCCCAGACAAGGTAACATTTGAGAGCAGACTTAAAATTAAAATGATAGCCTCGATAATTTTCTATTTTCTTTTTTTTTCTTTTTTTTTTTGAGACAGAGTCTCACTCTGTCACCCAGGCTGGAGGGCAATGGCTCACTGCAACCTCCGCCTCCCAGATTCAAGCAATTCTCCTGCCTCAGCCTCCCAAGTAGCTGGGACTACAGGAGTGTGCAGCAACACTGGGCTAATTTTTTTGAATTTTTAGTAGAGAAGGGGTTTCACCATGTTGGCCAGGCTGGTCTTGAACTCCTGTCCTCAGGTGACTCACTCACCTCGGCCTCCCAAAGTGCTGAGATTACAGGAGTGAGCCACTGCGCCCAGCCACGAATTTTCATTTTATCTTTCTTTTTCTTTTCTTTTCTTTTTTTTTTTTTTTTTTTTTTTTTTTGACGGAGTTTCGCTCTTGTTGCCCAAGCTGGAGTGCAATGGCGCGATCTCGGCTCACCGCAAACTCCACCTCCTGGATTCAAGCGATTCACCTGCCTGAGTCTCCGGAGTAGCTGGGATTACAGGCATGCGCCACCACGCCCGGCTGATTTTGTATTTTTAGTAGAGATAGGGTTTCTCCATGTTGGTCAGGCTAGATTGAACTCCAGATCTCAGGTGATCCACCCGCCTCGGCCTCCCAAAGTGCTGGGATTACAGGCGTGAGCCCCGGCACCCAGCCTTATTGCCTCCTTCTTAGTGAAATTACCCCACACCTGCTGGGAAAAGTCCTGAAGTCATGGTTCTGTGTGGCGTTTTCTAGTAGCTTATAGTAGTTAATTATTTGTGCAGCAAATAATCACTAATTGAACTTGAGATTTAGACTGGAAACAAACTGAAGATGGTCTTTGGTGTTTGCACACGATGCTGTTTTGTGAGAACTGTCAACAGAACCTTGCAAAATGCAAATCAGAACCTGTCATACCTTACGGCCTCCAAATTGTTTCCTATTCCAATTTTCACAACCACCTCCTTGCCCCTTCGTAAGTTACCTATTATCTTCTATGCCCACACTTTGGTTCCCTTCAGCCATGTTTTATCATCTTTCACAATAATGAACATTGAAACATATGACAAAATGACTGGCTTTTTTGGTGAGGCAAAATTATCAAGATGAGTTTTAACTATGCTGCTACCTGAAAGGAAGAGATAACAGAGCTAACACCCCTTCCCTACCATGTATCTTTCCTCCTCTAGCACGGTCTTTGCACATGCCTTTCACCCACCCCACATCTCTGGCTTCCTCTTTGACAAGCAAGGTTTCCTCTTTAAGTTACATACTAGATTTCTTTCTTGAAACTGACAAAAAATTTGCTTTTGTATCCATTAACAATTGTTTTCTCAAACTGAATGCTCAATTTACTTAAAATAAATATGCATGAATTTGCATGCTACAAGTTGAAATTTATGCTGTCTCAGATTAAAGCCTTAAAAGTAAAACCTAAAACCATAAAAACCCTGGAAGAAAACCTAGGCAATACCATTCAGGGCATAGGCATGGGCAAAGACTTCATGACTAAAACACCAAAAGCAAATGCAACAAAAGGCAAAATTGACAAATGGGATCTAATTAAACTAAAGAGCTTCTGCTCAGCAAAAGAAACTATCATCAGAGTGAACAGGCAAACTACAGAATGGGAGAAAATTTTTGCAATCTATCCATCTGACAAAGTTCTAATATCCAGAATCTACAAGGAACTTAAACAAATTTACAAGAAAAAAACATAAACAACCCCATCGAAAAGTGGGCAAAGGATATGAACACACACTTCGCAAAAGAAGACATTTATGTGACCAACAAACACATGTAAAAAAGCTCATCATCACTGGTCATTAGAGAAATGCAAATCAAAACCACGATGAGATACCATCTTGCGCCAATTAGAATGGTGATCATTAAAAAGTCTGGAAACTGAACAGATGCTGGCAAGGATGCAAAGAAATAGGAACGCTTGGGAGTATAAATTAGTTCAACCATTGTGGAAGACAGTGTGGCAATTCCTCAAGCTTCTCCTTGGTGAAGGAATGAAAACACTGGGCCATAAGTCCAGCATTCTAATTTTTCTGGGGGCTGCCAGGGCGTTTACTTCTGTTTTACCTATCTCAGGCAATGGCAGACAGGACCTGGCATACCCTAGACACAGGGGCATCATTAAGAACAAAGGCTGCAGTTTGAATAGCAAGCTACTACATGCCACATTCCCCGCTTCCAGCTCAGGGCAAAGCAAATAGGCAAAACAAACAGAACAACACTGAACCACAACTGCTCCCTTTCCAAAAAAAAAAAAACAAAAAAAAAACCCAGCTCCCTGAGAAGGGAAAGAAAAAGAGAGAACCATATGTTCAACAGTCTGATTTTTCTGAGGGCTGCCCAAGGCACTGGCTCTACCTCAACTGTCTCAGAGCATTTATGGGTCCTGCCATATTCCAAATGCCTGGGAACCACTGAGAACAGAAATAACAGTCTGAGATAGCATCTGGACTTGAGATGCTCCCAGAATGTCTGGACTGGCAGATTGGTGAAGTGCTTCTCCTATATGAGTCCATTCTATGAGACTATTGTGCAAACATCAACACAAGAGTCAAGGACAACGAAGAAACAGAAAAATATGCTCCAAAAAATAGAATAAGTTTCCAGAAACTGACCGCAAGGATACAAAGATATGTGATATACCTGACAGAGAAATCAAAATAACCATCGTAAACATGCAAAATAAGGTCAGGAGAACATGCATGAATATGAGAATTTCAAGAGACATAGAAAGATTTAAAAGTATCTAATAGAAATCATAGAGCTGAAGAACACAATAGTTGAAATGAAATTCACTAGGTAGGTTCTACAGCAGACTAGAGCAAGCAGAAGTAAAGGTCAGTGAACTTGAAGAAAGTTTATTGAAATTATCTACAGAAATGAAAAGAATAAAAAGAGTAAAAAAAAAGCTTAAAAGGGCTGGGCTTGGTGGTTCATGCCTGTAATCCCAGCACTTTGGGAGGCTGAGACGGGCAGATCACAAGGTCAGGAGATAGAGACCATCCTGGCTAACACGGTGAAACCCCATCTCTCCTAAAAATACAAAAAAAAAAATTAGCCAGGCGTGGTGGCAGGCGCCTGTAGTCCCAGCTCCTCAGGAGGCTGAGGCAAGAGAATGGCATGAACTCAGGAGGCAGAGCTTGCAGTGAGCCGAGATTGTGCCACTGCACTCCAGCCTGGGCAACGGAGTGAGACTCTGTCTCAAAAAAAAAAAAAAAAGAAAAAGCATAAAGGACTTATGGGACACCATTAAGTGGGTCAGTATAGAAATTATAGGATTCTCGGAAAAAGAAGGGAGAGAAAAAGAAAGCTTATTCAAAAAATAATAAAGGAAATTTTCCAAATCTAAGGGCATCTAGAAATCCCCTAATGGGCACCTACGATGCCCAGTGGACCCCAAATAAGATGATACCAAGATATCCACACTGAGATACATTATGATAAATTATCAAAGGTCAAGGGCAAAGTGAGAATTTTGAAAGCAGCAAAAGAAAAGTGACTTGTTAATACAGTGGTGTCCCCATAAAAATATTAGGAGAATTTTTCAGCAGAAACTTTGCAGACCAGAAGTAAGTGGGATGATATATCCAAAGTGCTGAGAGAGAAAAAAAAATACCAGCCAAGAATACTACTCTTGGCAAAACCATTCTTCAGAAATGAAGGAGAGATGAATACTTTCCTAGACAAACAAAAGCTGAGGAAATATATCACCACTGAACCTGCATTACAAGATATGCTGAAAGGAGTTTTTCAAGTTGCAACAAAGAACAATTAAAAGCAATATGAAAGTATATGAGAGTATAAAATCACTTTTTCTTTAAAGTAAAGAGCAAGGCAATGATGCCCATTTTTGCCACTTCTGTTCAACATAGTACTAAAATTCCTAGCAAGAAAAATTAGGCAAGGAAAATAAATAAAAGGTATTCAAATTGGAAAAAAGTAAAAGTAAAATTATCTCTCTTTGTAGATGGCATAATCATATATGTAAAAATCCTAAAGACTACATATACTCACACATGTGCACACACATACACTTTGAATAAATAAATTCTGTAAGTAGCAGAATACAAAAATCAGTGGTGTTGCTATACACTAACAACAAACTTCCTGAGAAGAAAATTAAGAAAATAATCTCATCTAAAATAGCATCGAAAAGAATAAAATACTTATGAATAAACTTAATTAATGAGGTAAAAGACCTGTACACTGAAAACTATGAAACACAGAGGAAAGAAATTAAACACAAATAAATAAAAAGACATCCATGTTCATGGATTGGAAGGCTTAATATTGTTAAAATTTCTGCACTACCCAAAACAATTTACAGATTCAAAGCAAATTCTATCAAAATGCTAATAGAATTGTTTACAGAAGCTGATAAAAATTCTAAAATTCACATGAAACCACAAAGGGCCCCAACAGCCAAAACAATCTTGAGAAAACACAAGGCTAGAGACATCTGCTGATTTCAAAATGTATTAAGAAACAACAGTAATTAAAACAGTATAATGCTGGCATAAAGACAGGCATAAGACCTACAGAACAAAAGAGCCCAGATACAAATCCACACATATATGGTCAACTGATCATCAACAAGGTTGCCAACAATACAGAATGAGAAAAGGAGTCTTTTCTACAAATGGTGCCGGGAAAACTAGATATCCTACATAATAGACTGAAATTGATTTTTATCTTACACAATATACAAAATTCAACTTAAAATGAATTGAAGAATTAACTGTAAAGAAGACCCAAAATTGTAAATCCCATAAAATAAAACATAGAGGAAGAGTTTCGTAACATTGAAGTTGGCAATAATGTATTGGATAAGACACCAAAAGCAAAGAAACAAAAGTAAAAATAGGTAAGTAGAAATAAATCAAATAAAAACTTTTTGCACAGCAAAGGAAACAATCAAAAAAATGAGGAGACAACCTATAGGATGGGAGAAATATTTGCAAATAATCTATCTGATAAGGGATTAACATCCAAAATATATAAGAAACTTTTACAACTCAGTAGTTAAACAATCAAACAAACAAAAACAATAACCCAATTTAAAAAGTAGGCAAAGTACTTGAACAGACATTTCTCCAAAAAAGACATACATATGGCCAATGGGTAGATGAAAAGATTCTCAACATCACTAATCATTGGGGAAATGCAAATCAAAGCCAAAATGAGATATCACCTCATCATACCTGTTAGGATGACCATTATTAACACATAAATAAATAATAAGTATTTGCGAGGATGTGGAGAAATTGGAATTCTTGTACACCGTTGGTGGGAATGTAAAATGGCACAGCAGCTATGAAAAACTGGAGGTTTCAGCAAAAATTAAATATAGAACTTCCATATGATCCATCAACCCTACCTTTCTATATTTAAGAGAATTAATACCAGGATCCCATGTTCATTGAAGCATTATTCAGAATAGCTAAGATGTGGAAACAACCTAAATATCCATAAATGGATGTGTGTTAAATACATACAATGGAATATTATTCAGTCTTTTTTTTTTAAAAAAAGGAAATCCTACCATCTGCAACAAAATGGATGAACCTGGAAGACATTTGCTAAGTGAAATAAGCCTGTCACTAAAGGACAAATACAGCATGATTTCATTTGTATGAGGTATGTAAATAGTCAAATTCACAGAATCCAAGAGTAGAATAATGGTTGCCAGTCCCTAGGAGAGAGACATAGAGAGTTGCTAATTAGCAGTCATAAAGTTTCAGTCAAGCAAAATGAATAAGCTCTAAAGATATAATGTATAACATTGCACCTATAGTCCATAATGTAGTGTACATTTAAAAATTTGTTAAGAGGACTGTTAAGTGTTAACTCATGTTAAGTGTTCTTACCGTAATAAAAAAATTATGAAGTTGTACACTATTTGTACATTTTTCTGTACCTTTCACATACCTCAATATAATGTATTTTGAATAAAATATCAATTTGTCTTTTCCTCTTTCAGGCATGTCCTATTATTTATGATCTATTACAAATTTTCATTACTATTTTCCATGGCAAGTATCTATTTAGCCACAATTTTTGTTTTTGTTATAATGTGGGTGGCTGGCTGGAGGTTTCCATGTTTGCTTATTCCCCTGCCCCAGCTTTTAAATATGTAATTGACACAGGTTGTATATATTTAAGATGTACAATGTAATGACTTGATAAACATATACATTGTATAATGACTACTATAATCAAATTAATTTACATATCCATCACCACCCATGTCATACCTTATGTATTAGTCTGTTCTCACACTCCTATAAAGAACTGCCTGAGACTGGGCAATTTATAAAGGAGGGAGGTTTAATTGACTCACAGTTCCACATGGCTGGGAAGGCCTCGGGAAACTTACAATGATGGCAGAAGGGGAAGCAAATATGTCCTTCTTCACATGAGGGCAGGAAGGAGAAGTGCTGAGGAAAGAGGGAAAAGCCCCTTAAAAAACCGTCAGATCTTGTGAGAACTCACTCAGTGTCATGAGAACAGCCCCCTCCATGATTCAATTACCTCCCACAGGGTCCCTCCCACGACACATGGGAATGATGGAAACTACAATTCAAGATGAGATTTGGGTGGGGACACAGCCAAACCACATCACCTTAGAAACCCAGAACTTGTTAGTCTTTTTTTTTTCCTCCATTGGACTTTTATTTGAATGTAATATTTGGGACAGTTATTCAAAAGGACAAATATTTTCCAACTTAATCTAAGGTCATAATAAAACAAGCAACAAAACAGTGTTTGGGATTTCAATTTCTCACCCTTATAATCAGGACTCAATGCCTCCTGTCATCAATATTTATTGAGCATTTACAATGTGTGAGGCACAATAGAACATAGAGACAACATTGTCCCTGCTCTTGAGGAGATTACATTCTAAAAAAACAAAACAAAACAAAAAAATGCCTCTTTTAAAATGGTTGGTTTGGTGTTTTCTGCAGAGTATTGAGAAAATATTCTGTAGAGCGAACTTTGGATATAACTTTACCCCATCATTATTTAGAGAATAGAGGAAGAGAAAGAGGAAGGATTTTAAAGGCAGACAATGACAGAATATTCAGGATAGATAAGGTTTAAAGAGAGATAAACACAAACTAAGGAGAGGTTTGTTGCAGTAAATAGGATGAGGGAAATAGTTTATGGGATGCAGGCAAAGGAAGCAGAGTGTTTTAAACACTGAGTGGAGCCAGACAGATCATGCGGCCTTTTTCCAAGTAAACGGCCACCAAGTAGGAATGGTTGGTGACAAGAGAGAAGGCTAAAAAAGGAAGGTAATCTTGTGCTCCTGAAAAATAGAAAGAATAAAGGATCAAAATCAAAGGCAGCCTATAATAGTATCTATAAATTATTCTTAAAAAATCAAAAGTGATTTGGAAGCCCAAAACTTACAGTTAATGCTACCCAATGTCATGATGGACCAAGAACATTGTGGCTTCCTAAGTTAGAAAATGCTGTATATTAAAATTTAAAAAGGAACATATTACTTTTTTCCAATCAATCCCCTTCCACTAGAAAAAACAGAAACTCATTTTTTTCAGGGTGAGGAGGAGCAGAGGGGAACATGGGGCATGGCTGCAAACAGTAGTTATGTTAGTAGTATTTTTGCTATGATAAATTTTGTGTTTAAACTTGGTAAAATTTCATTAACTGCCAAGGGAGAATGAGGAATAAATTTCAAAAAATGGACAATTTCCTTTAGAGAAATTTCAGAATCAAAAGACTAATTTACATGAAAAGCTATAGAGAAAGCAGCTGGAAAGTCTATTTATACAGCGTTTATTCCACTTACATGAACATAATACATGTGTTATTAACAATTATGTTGGATTGTCCATAAAAATTTCATAAGATATGAAACAAAACTGTGCATCATGTCCAGTTACTTCTCTGTTAACTACTTTTACAGTACATGCATGTGAGGCAAGTATCAAAAAAAGGCATAAAAGAAAAAACACTTTAAAAATTAAATACTTTTTTTTTTAATTTTACTGATTTGCTTGATGTACATGAAGTAATGACTATCAAGCAATTCGCTTTTACTGCATCTTTACTTTTACATTTGTTCTTAGGTTGCCTAAAACATTTAAATACAAAGATAATGAGCGTAGCAAAAATACTGAAAGCAAACAGCAGTGAACTTTACAAATATGGAATATAAACCACTTCTGCCCGTATGCAGAGTAAACTGGTCTCAGCTCTGTCTAAAGGAGCACTTCTGCAGCTGTAGTCAAATGTGTGCACGTTGAGATTGAGTACTCTGCAGATATATGTGGTTTAACATGTGATATCCATAGCATATCTGTTTCTACCACAGCCTTGTAAGTGCTCCAGACCTTAAAGTACCCACAGTTACTATATCTGTGACTGGAACGAATTATCCCTTTTATTCCCCATGGGGACAAATCAATATGTAGGCAGTTTTCTTCACTCAGACATGGAAGCAGTTTTAACTCTGGACATTGTGAAGTCACAATGTACCAAAAGTCCTATGCCAAACATTTATAACTTGTATAAAAATTCCACATCCCCATATTTGCCATCTCAAGATGAAAAAAGATAACTCGCTAAATGTTGACTGGCTCTAATCTTCTAATATTAAACATAAAAACCACATGGGAAATATTAAAATTTAAATAGAAATTCCATATCTTGGCCATTCTGAATATTGCTGCAATACACATAAACCTGTCATAAAGCTAAACAAAAAACTATTTGTGGGACAGCATGGATGACAAATGGTCTACTGTGTAAATTTTAGGATGAGGCAGAAAAAAGTCGGAGGGCTGGTTAACTTTTTCTTCCTCTTGCTTCAGTTTCATCTCCTTGAGTATCCAATGTCCACAGTGTCAATTTGTCTCTCAGTAACTGCATTAGCAGGCGATCTTTGTATGACTCTTCACTTAATGTATCAAGTTCAGCAAGGGCTTCATCAAAAGCTGCCTTTACAAGTGAATGAGATTTCTCTGGGGAGTTCAGAAGCTCATAATAGAAGACAGAGAAGTTTAGAGCCATACCCAATCTGATAGGATCTGTTGGTTGCATTTCCTTTTTGGTGATTTCACAAGCTTCTTGGTATGCTTGTTGTGACTGATCTAGGATCCCTTTTGTGTCATAACCAGCAGCAGCCTCAGGCCAAGTAAAAATAGTAGTCTCTTTGTTGTTGTTGTTGTTGTTGTTGTTGTTGTTGTTGAAATGGAGCATTGCTCCCTCCGCCAGGCTGGAGTGCAATGGCGCAGTCTCGGCTCACTGCAACCTCCACCTCCCGGGTTCAAACGATGCTTCTGCCTCAACCTCCTGAGTAGCTCAGACTACAGGCGCATGCCACCACGACCGGTTAATGTTTGTATTTTTAGTAGAGATGGGGTTTCACCATATTGGCCAAGCTGGTCTCGAACTTGTGATCTCGTGATCCGCCCGCCTCGGCCTCCCAGAGGGCTGGGATTACAGGCGTGAGCCACCACACCCAGCCCTCCTTCATTTTTAAATAGAATATTTTGCTCTCTGCTTCTGAGGCATTGGAGATCAAGAACTTTTCCAAAAGACATAGTACATAGCACATCATTGTAGATATCTCTTAGCTCCTTCTCAATTTTCTCTCTGTATTCTCAAGGCATCTGCTGTTTTTTTCTCAGCACCTTCTGTCTTTTGCTCAATACTTGAGATGACCCTGCAAGATGACCTACAGACTCCTACAACATTTTTATAAGGAACTGAAAGACGATTCCTCTCCTCATTGGATAATTCGCCTCCTTTCTCAGTTAGGGACTTCATGCAGACTGCAGTGTCATCATATTGCTCAGCTTACTCGCCAGTTTGTCCTTCTGAACCAGTTCATTTTTATCCATGACTGGATGCTCTGTGTCCGGAGTAGGTGGAAGTAGACGGACAGGGGTTCAGCAGTCTCTAGGCAGCAGCAGCCGCAGCAGGAAGCTGAGATTCTGTCCCTGGATCTCGCTGCTCGAAAGCTCCTGTTTATTTTGTAACTGAAGTTTTGTACCCTTTAGCCAAACTTCCCTCCCGTCCCCTGCTCCCCAGTCTCTGATAATCATCGTTCTACTCTCTGCTTTTATTAGTTCAAATTTTTTGGGTTTCACAAATAAATGAGCTCATACAGTATTTGTTTTTCTGTGCCTAGCTTATTTCACTTAGAATAATGACTTCCAGTTCCATTCGTGTTATCACAAATGGAAGGATTTCCTTCCTTTTTATCACTAAAAAATATATTCCATTATATATGTATTCCACATTTTCTTTATCCATTTATCTGTTCATGGATAGTTAGGATGTTTCCATATCTTGGCCATTGTAAATATTGCTGCAATGAACGTGGGAGTACAGATATCTCTTCAGCACACTGATTTCAATTCCTTTGGATATATACCAGAAGTGGGATTGCTGGACCTATTTTTAACTTTTTGAGAAACCGCCACACAGTTTTCCCTATGGCTGTACCAATTTATGTTCCTACCAACAGTGCACAAGGGTTCGCTTTTCTCTATACCCTGGCCAACACTTGCTATCTTTGGTCTTTTTGATAATAGCTCTTCTAACAGCTGTGAGGTGATAGCTCATTATGGTTTTGATTTGTATTTCTCTAATAATTAGTAATGTTGAGCATGTTTTATGTAGCTGTTGGCCACATGTATGTCTTCATTAGAAAAATGTCTATTCAGGTCATTTGCCCATTTTTAAAAATAAGGTTATGTGGTTTTTTTCTTCTGAATTGTAGGAGTTCCTTACATATATTGCATATTTACCTCTTATCAGATAAATGGCTTGCAAATGTTTTCTCCCATTCTATATATTGACTTTTCATTTTGTTAGTTTCCTTTGCTATGCAGAAACTTTTTAGTTTGATGTGACTCCAGTTATTTATTTTTGCTTTTGTCACCTGTGCTTTTGGTGTCTTATCAAAAAAATTATTGCCAAGACCAATGTCAAGGAGATTTCCCTATGTTTTCTTTTAGAATTTTCATCATCTCAGATCTTACACTGAAGTCTCTAATTCATTTTGAGTTAATTTGTGTATATGGTATAAGGGTCCAATATCACTTTGTTCCATGTAAATATCTAGCTTTCCTAACACCATTATTTTTGTCTCAAATTTCCCAATTCTAAAACTATCTTGATTTTGTATACTTGTTTGATTTTCACTGGCACAGCAGTTATCCAAGCTCATATTATTGTCCAACTTTACACTGTTAATACCATTCTTACTGGGTTTCTTTTTTACATATTCACTTATGTACCACTGGGTTTCTTTTTTACATATTCACTTATGTACCAGCCCTCTCAAAGCTGTTATTCATAATGCAGCCATAGTGACCTTTCAAATTGGCATTATTAGTAATATCACCATCCTCTGAAATCCATTCCATAACACCCATTGCTTTATGACTGGATCTCTGCCTTCACTCCTTCTCACCCTACTGCCTCCATATGAATAGATATATAGATATAGTATTTTCCAGAATATCATATGAAAAGACTATATCTATATATCTATTAATATGGAAAATAGTTTGGTTGTTACCAGAGTTTGGGGTGGGGAGAGAAGTTGATTTTCAAGAGATTACAGAAGGGAACTCTTAGGATGATGAAACTGCTTTGTATGGTACTATGGATACATAACTCTATGTTTCGTTAAAACTGATAAAATGATGTTTTGCAAATAATGAACTTTACTGTAGGCTAGTTTAAAATAAAAATTCACCAAGATACCTATGGAATGCAGGATGAAATTTAAACTGTGAAAAATAAATTAAACAACATTAGAAATGCATGCCAACCTCACCGAAAGAGGTAGAGGTTAAAAGGAGCTGGCCTAAGTACCTATAAAAAACAACTACTCTGACTGCATACCTTAAAGCTAAGGATAAAAAGAACTGTACACAAACAGTGTACTCTAGGTGGTAAATTTATTTCTCACAAAAATACTGGTTAGCAATTCTGAAATGAATTTACATGTATACTAATGTTAAACAGGTAAGGAAATAAATTGTGGAAATTGTTGCCAGATTTATTATATTCAGAAAACAGGTTATAAATAAGCAAGGTTGAGAGGTTGCTAGAATGGACCCTGTGTGGCCATATTTGAGTGGAATTTATCAGTAGGAATTCATGATGGAGAGAGAGAGATGGATAGATACATACATATGATAATAAATATAGACATGTGCATGCATGGGTCAGTGTACATGCATATATTTCTTAGCTTTGTCTCCTGAGGGGGGCTAAAAGCAGTGACATACAGTAGCAATGAGCACATCTTGCCTCCAGGTCAGGTTTTCTAAATATAGTTCTCTAAGTAAAGAAACCAGGGCTCCCTGAAGAAATGAAAATTCTAGGTCTGTAGCAGGTGAAATAACATGAAGAATCTTGTAGTTCCAGAAAATATGGAAGTGCTAAAAAGGGGAGAGTGGGGTGCAGCATGTCAAAACTACACAGGAGCCAACTCAGCTCCCAATGGCCAAAGCTGGAAAACTTTGAGAAACAAAACAAATATTGCTCATAACCAAAAGAATAATATAAATATTCATGAGTACATAACAATATAAATACTTTAATAAACAAATGAAAGAAGATACAAATCTTCCTTACTGAAACATTTAAATGATAAATAAAGGAGAAATGAGGGAAACAAAATCACCTTTTGAACAACACAATGGTATTTGCTGCAGGCAAAATCTACACATGAATCCTAAAACTTGTGGTTTTTCCCCATCTCTGTGGTGTAAATCCTCCCATCAGAGCTAACTTCAGGCTACCCAAACTATGTTGACCTGTGCTCCCTGAAAATTTAAAATTGACTTCCACAAACCAATATAAGCCAGTCTCAGGACATTCCTGTGTAAATTTCTTTTTTTTTTTTTTTTTTAGATGGAGTCTCACTCTGTTGCCCAGGCTGGAGTGCAGTGGCGCAATCTCAGTTCACTGCAACCTCTGCCTCCCAGGTTCAAGCGATTCTCCTGCCTCAGCCTCCTGAGTAGCTGGGATTACAGGCACATGCCACCACACATGACCAATTTGTGTATTTTTAGTAGAGACGGGATTTCACCATGTTGGCCAAGCTGGTCTCAAACTCCTGATCTCAAGTGATCCACCCATCTTGGCCTCCCAAAGTGCTGGGATCACAGGTGTGAGCCACCGTGCCTGGAACCTGCATACATTTTCAATTGCTTCTTAAAACTCATAGTGCTGCCCTCTCCCTCTCCCTCTCCCGCTCCTGCTCCCGCTGCCGCTCCCCACGGTCTCTCTCTCCCTCTCTTTCCACGGTCTCCCTCTGATGCCGAGCCAAAGCTGGACTGTACTGCTGCCATCTCGGCTCACTGCAACCTCCCTGCCTGATTCTCCTGCCTCAGCCTGCCGAGTGCCTGCGATTGCAGGCATGCGCCGCCACGCCTGACTGGTTTTCATATTTTTTTTGGTGGAGACGCGGTTTCGCTGTGTTGGCCGGGCTGGTCTCCAGCTCCTAACTGCGAGTGATCCGCCAGCCTCGGCCTCCTGGGGTGCCAGGATTGCAGACGGAGTCTAGTTCACTCAGTGCTCAATGTTGCCCAGGCTGGAGTGCAGTGGCGTGATCTCGGCTCGCTACAACCTCCACCTCCCAGCCGCCTGCCTTGGCCTCCCAAAGTGCCAAGATTGCAGCCTCTGCCCGGCTGCCACCCCGTCTGGGATGTAAGGAGCCCCTCTGCCCCGCGGCCCAGTCTGGGAAGTGAGGAGCGCCTCTTCCCGGCCGACATCCCGTCTAGGAAGTGAGGAGTGTCTCTGCCCGGCCGCCCATCGTCTGAGATGTGGGGAGCGCCTCTGCCCCGCCGCCCCGTCTGGGATGTGAGGAGCGCCTCTGCCCGGCTGTGACCCCGTCTGGGAGGTGAGGAGCGTCTCTGCCCGGCCGCCCCATCTGAGAAGTGAGGAGCCCCTCCGCCTGGCAGCCGCCCCATCTGGGAAGTGAGGAGCGTCTCTGCCTGGCAGCCACCCTGTCCGGGAGGGAGGTGGGGGCAGCCCCCGCCCGGCCAGCCGCCCCATCCAGGAGGGAGGTGGGGGGTCAGCCCCCGCCAGGCCAGCCGCCCCGTCTGGGAGGGAGGTGGGGGGCGCCTCTGCCCGGCCGCCCCTTCTGGGAAGTGAGGAGCCCCTCTGCCCGGCCACCAACCTGTCTGGGAGGTGTACCCAACAGCGCATTGAGAACGGGCCATGATGACGATGGCAGTTTTGTGGAATAGAAAAGGGGGAAAGGTGGGGAAAAGATAGAGAAATCAGATTGTTGCTGTGTCTGTGTAGAAAGAAGTAGACATGGGAGACTTCATTTTGTTCTGTACTAAGAAAAATTCTTCTGCCTTGGGATGCTGTTGATCTATGACCTTACCCCCAACCCTGTGCTCTCTGAAACATGTGCTCTGTCCACTCAGGGTTCAATGGATTAAGGGCGGTGCAAGATGTGCTTTGTTAAACAGATGCTTGAAGGCAGCATGCTCGTTAAGAGTCATCACCACTCCCTAATCTCAAGTACCCAGGGACACAAACACCTCGGAAGGCCGCAGGGTCCTCTGCCTAGGAAAACCAGAGACCTTTGTTCACTTGTTTATCTGCTGACCTTCCCTCCACTATTGTCCTATGACCCTGCCAAATCCCCCTCTGTGAGAAACACCCAAGAATGATCAATAAAAAAATAAATAAATAAAAAATAAAAAATAAAAAAAATAAAAAAAAACTCACAGTGCTGTCATTTTATAATCTCTTGTGATGTACACCTCTCTCCAAACTTTTATTTTTCCATCTGCCCATTATACACTGAAGTTAGACCCACTAAAGTCTCTAGTTTATTCTTTGAATATTCAAAATTTTTTCTAACTTAAAGGCTTTTAATGTATCCTCTTTTCTTCCATTTGCCTTCCATCATGTTAACGCTCAGTTATCTTTAAGAACTCAGTTGAGAAGAAAAGTGTTCTAAAAAATTATCACTGACATGTCTTCTAATCTGGGTTAGAATCTCGTCCTACGTGCTTCTCAAGATTCCTATACTCTTCCTATGAGAGCCCTTGTGTGTTTCTAGGGGTCTGTATCTCCCACTACAAGCAACTTAAGAGCAGAGATTTTGCATCATTCTCTATTATATGCCAAGCTCTTAGCACAATACGTGACACACTGTAGGCACTCCCTAAATGATTGTTGAATTAGAACAGGAATTAAAAGAAATTAAAGAATGTGTAAGCAAAAGCTCGGTTGTATGTAAGAGAAACCCAATTCCCCCTGAAGAAGAGAAAGAGCTGGAGTCCTTTAAAATTAACTGCCTGTTTTTCTGCGGCTAGTAAGCCTTATCTCTCCCTTTCCCAGGCATTGTGAAGACCCTATTTCTCTAGCTGTGCAGGTGCAAGGTCACTAGGCAGATAAACTCAAGTCGTAAAACATGTTTTTCCTTGAAAAAATAAGAAATAATGTAATACATGTCTTAATTGAATAACTGTCTTTGTTTCTCACTTCTGTAATATGCTTCCCCCTGCACAGATCGTCCCCCGCTGCACAAAATGCTTAAAAGGTAACCGGACTCTTTGTTTGGGGCTCAGTCCTTTGGATGTTAATCCGACTGGGTCGGTGCACCTAAATAATTAAATAATTCCTCCTCAACCCCTCAGTCTCTCTGGTTCCTTAATTATCCCGCTGCAGAATGGATTAAAAAATAAAGAAATAATTATTATATAAGTAGGCAACAAGTGTTAGAAAAGAACCTTTGCACATACGATATACACGTAACTAAGAATAAATTATTGGTATAAATTTATGGACACAATAAGTGCTTATATTTCTTATTCATAAATTTTATTTTTCTTGGATATTTATGAATAAGAAATATAAGTGCTTTAGCAGATTTATAAACGAGGAACTGAGGGAAGTTTTCACGCCACATTGCCACCTCGAAAAGATGGCTATTGGAGTTGTTGGAGGTTATACGAGGAGCCACAATGGAAGTGTAAGTAAGTTTTCCACTGTATCTCTCCAGCACATCTGACCACAATCCCACCTTAGCTTTCACCAGCAACAGCAAGACCAACCACAACAGCAACATCATTGTCAAGTACCTGTGGTGCTGTTTCACATTTTCTTTTTATTTTCATTTAACCCTCAGAGCAACCGACAAAGTAGTTGTTATTATTACACCTATTTTACAGATGAGGAAAAATAGATCAGAGAGATTAGATAATTTGCCCATGTTCATACAGGTAATAAGTGACAGTTTCAGAATTTGAACCCAGATGTGTCAGATTCTAAAGGCCTTATTCTTTAGTTCTCTACTTTACAGTTTCCCATTGTCCTTTGAAGAACACATTTGGGCTTGCTCTCAGACTCGCCAACATAAATCATCATTTACATATCAGGGCATGTGTGAGTTCCAGCAGTTCACTGAAATAAAATCCCTGAGCCTTAACCCTCCCATCTCAAATACAGTGAAAATTTATTTTAATGATAATGATGGTAATTTTTTATTTGACACTTTTTATAATGCTGATGTTAAAGTCAAGAAGCATTTCTCTGTAATGGAAAAAATGTCTCATTTTTCTTCCTACTGGGCGGTCAGAAGTTGGATTTTAGAAAAAATATATTGAATAGGGATTATACCGCCTTCCTTCCTTAAACCTCATAAAGCAATGGAGTAGGTGGATAAGAAGAAATAGAACCAATTTCTGGAAACAACTTTGGAGTAATGATCATAGAAGTTACAGATATCCAAGAATGCCTAAAGAAATATATCTGTCCTTCCATACCCACGACACACAAATAGGATTTATAGTTAGGAGAGAAAGGATAGAGTCAGTCAAACGTCCAAGGTTCTTGTGATTGGTGCCATGATAGAAGGATTGAGCTTTACGAGCAGGCTTATGTTCTCCTGAGTTTGTGGGTGAAGCTCTGAGTCACTGGAGATTTAAGGTCAAATATTCATGCTCTCAGAATTATTTTCATAAGGAGGTATTCTTGATTACACAGAATTGGGAGGTGAGGAAATTTCCTAGAAAATAAAACAACATTAATGTCCAAGAACAGGATCATTATCTCCTTCTCCTCCCATCCCTTCCTGTTATCATCATAATCATCAACAATAAAATCCATTCATTGATGTTTACTGTGCCAAATGCCATAAAGATTATATACACAGTACTCACAACAAACATTAGAAGAGAATGAAAATATTATTTTCATTTTACAGTTAATATATCTAAAATTTAGAAAGAATTATTAATTTTTCCTAGGTCATACAATTAGAAAGTTACAAGTTATAAGAAAATAATAAAACTTAATTACAGCTGTATAAGAAAGTATGCTCTTATATATCAAGTACAGTATTTCCTCTTGCATGTTCACATCCAAATTCTTTTCTACCCTTCATTCCATCTCTAACATTCATACAATCTCTAATTCCAGGAACTCCACAAATCATTACCACATAAAGGTTTATTTCTAAGCATCAGAAACAACTTCAAACCCTACAGGGAGGCTTTGAGATCATGTGAATGATTAATCATTTGAAAAATCTCACCTCTCTTGAATTACAGCAGTTTGCATTGCACCACATGGCTATGGTAGAGATAGTTACGCATAATTCCAGCAAGGTGAGAATCAGCAGTAGAGACACCATGCCCTAGGGGATATGATGCCTTATATCAAACCCAGTGGCAACATCCAGAGGTAAAAAAAAAAATGTCAGCAGGAAACCAGACTACAACATCTCCCTCCCGTAAAGTGGAACAAAGTGAACCATAAATTAAAGACAGAGACACATATAACACTGTAGAAGAGATAGTATCTCAATCTAAAAGCATGAAAACATTTTCTCTAATGAGAAAGATGTGTCACATTTCTATGTCAACGCATGTGAAGTAGCTACAGGGGGAAGAAGCTGTAGAAACAAAATTCTGACATTATCACTAACATCTTCCAATCTGAATAGTAGTAAACTAAGGAGAGGAGTAGGCAGTTTAGAAAAATGAACAAAAATGGCCCTTCCACAATTTCATTAGCACTTCATAGGGGTTTAGGCATTTACATTATCCCTAGAAACTAAAACACTGAGCTAATATAAACAAAAAATAAAATTGTTGGGCTAATGATTCTACTATTATTACTGAGGCACCTAGAAGCAACCAATACAATATATCCCTGGAGGAAAAATACCTCCAAATTCACAGAAAAATCAGGCTCCGACAAATATAAATTTAGATCATTAAAAATGTAATAAAGAAAATGAGAACACAAACTTCCATAAGTAGTGTCTCACCCATAGGTGGGAACTGAACTATGAGAACACTTGGACGCAAGGCGGGGAACATCACACACCAGGGCCTGTCGTGGGGTGGGGGGCTGGGGGAGGGATAGCATTAACAGAAATACCTAATGTAAATGACATGTTAATAGATGCAGCAAACAAACACGACACATGTATACATATGTAACAAACCTGAACGTTGTGCACGTGTACCCTAGAACTTCAAGTATAATAATAATAATAAAAAGAAAACAGGAAGCTTAGGAGTGAGTCTGTAATTAACAGTTCATAGATCACTGGGATGAAATGGATAATTCCAAAGGAAAATATTAATTTCTAAGTAGAGTTCAGAAGAGGTAGAGTACCTGAACACAAATTTTTAAAAAATTGGTAAGGTTGGCTGGGCGCGGTGGCTCATGCCTGTAATCCCAGCACTTTGGGAGGCAGAGGCGGGCGGATCACGAGGTCAGGAGATCGAGACCATCCTGGCTAACACAGTGAAACCCCGTCTCTACTAAAAATACAAAAAAAAAAAAAAAACAATTAGCCGGGCGTGGTGGCGGGCGCCTGTAGTCCCAGCTACTCGGGAGGCTGAGGCAGGAGAATGGCGTGAACCCAGGAGGTGGAGCTTGCAGTGAGCCGAGATGGCGCCACTGCACTCCAGCCTGGGTGACAGAGCAAGACTCCGTCTCAAAAAAAAAAAAAAAAAAAGGTAAGGTTATTAAAGAGCTTTCCTTTGAAAACACCATGCTAATTTCATTCTAAAGCGCAGTCCTTCAAAACTTCAAGTCATTATTTGAACATTCCAGATTGCAGAGAAAGTTGTAAATCTCTCAAGTTTGTTTTATTAAGCAAGGAGATATGAAATGAAACTTTATTTTTTTATTTTTTTATTTTTTGAGACAGTTTCACTCTTTTTGCCCAGGCTGGAGTGCAATGGCGCAATCTCGGCTCACCGCAACCTCCACCTCCCGGGTTCAAGTGATTCTCCTGCCTCAGCCTCCCAAGTAGCTGGGATTACAGGCGCCTGCCACCATGCCCGGCTAATTTTTTTTTTTGTATTTTTAGTAGAGACGGGGTTTCACCATGTTGGCCAGGGTGGTCTCGATCTCTCGACCTCGTGATCCGCCTGCCTCGGCCTCCCAAAGTTCTGGGATTACAGGCGTGAGCCACCGCGCCCAGTGAAATGAAACTTAAAAAAAAATCTCTCTGGGGAGTGTAATAGTAGTAGTTGTGGTAATAATAATTGTGTATCATGATATGCTAAGCCTTGTTTTAATTGCTTATCATATGTTAACTTTTTAAATACTCACATAAATCCTATGAGACGGGTACTATTGTTATCCTCATTTCAAAAATGAGAAAATTCAAGGGATTATCTAATTTGCCCTTCATTATAAAGCAAATAGGCGACAGACCCAAGATTCAAATTATGGGATGGGCGCGGTGGCTCACGCCCCTTATCCCAGCACTTTGGGAGGCCGAGGCGGGCGGGTCACGAGGTCAGGAGATCAAGACCATCCTGGTTAACACGGTAAAACCCCGTCTCTACTAAAAAAATACAAAAAATTAGCTGGGCATGGTGGTGGCCGCCTGTAGTCTCAGCTACTCGGGAGGCTGAGGCAGGAGAATGCTGTGAACCCAGGAGGGCGGAGCTTGCAGTGAGCCGAGATCACTCCACTGTACTCCAGCCTGGGCGACAGAGCGAGACTCCGTCTCAAAAAAAAAAAAAAAAAAGATTCAAATTATGGCACATTGGTACCTGATATATTATTTTTCTGTACATCCTGGATTGTTTGAAATATTTTATACTTATACATATTTTTCAGAAACATACATTTGATATGGAGCCCATGTAATTGCATAGGTCCGGTGACTCTGATGAAGAGTGACAACTCCTTAATGACTGGATATTAACTGCTATATTTAGTGAGAGAAAAGCAGTCCCCACTAGTGCAATTGTAGCACTGGCAATGTTCATTCCAAAACTGTTCTGTATCTAAAAAAGAATAAGAATTTTCAATTAATATATGCAGCACGTACTTCATTCCTTTGGCAACAATTCATTGAAACAAACATTGATTGAATATTGTTTACACACCCATTGATATCCTAGATGCGAGGCTAACATCAATGACCAAAGAAAGATTTCTGTCCCCCACCCTCCATGGAGCTTATATTCTAGCAATAAAAACAAAGAAAAAAGTAAACATACTATAGGTAAATTACATAATATTTTTGAAAGTGATTAAGTACTAGGGGCTAACAGAATGGGATAAGGAGAATCTGGGAATCCAAAGAGAGGAGTGGGGGTTCATGATATTAAATAGAAATGACACTGGGGAGAGGCATGAAAGAGCTGTGGGTGCCAGCCAGGAGGATATCTGGGGGAATATCCTTGAAATTAGGGAAACACTCAAAATCCTGAGGCCAGAATCTTCTGGGGCAGCAAAGGGGTCAAGGGCGTTGGAGGCACGTAGTCAATACTAGGAAATGAAGAAGAAGGAAAGTTAACAGAGAGCCAAATCATGTGGGGCTCTGCAGATCATGAAAAGGAACTTGTTTCTAACTCTAAGAAAAATACAAAGCCAATGAAGGATTTGGAGCAAATAAATGATATACTTGGCTTTATGGTTTCAAGGGATCACTGTTTCTAGCAAGGCAAAGAGAAGTTCAACGATAAAAGCTAGAAGCCCAATTAGGAGAGACAAGGTGGATTGGATGAAATGTCATCAATAGAAAGATAAGAAAAGGTCAAAACTGGATATAATAATAGCTTGAAAGTAGAGCCAACATTATTTGCTGATAAATAGGATTCAGGATTGTGAAAGAAAGAAGACTCTTGGTTATTCTAAGGTGTTTGGTCTGGGAATCTGGAAGGATGACATTCCCATCAGCTGACATGAGGAGAAGGTTTGAGGAAGAAGACTGGGAGTTGAGCTTTGGATCTTTACATGCCAGTCTGATGATCAGGAGAGACACCTGGGCTGGAAATACTTATTTCAGGGTTGTGGGCATACAGATATTACTTGAAGTCATAAGAATGTGTGAGATCACAGAAGAAGTACGTATAGATTGAGAAGAGCAGGTGGCAAAGAATTCAGCTCTGGGGCACCAGAACATTAAAAGGTCAGAGACAAGGAGAGGAACCAGGAAAGGAGACTGAGATGGAGAAAGCAAAAGATGGGAGGAAAACCAGCCAAGCAATGTATGCTGGAAGCCAAGTGAGGAAATTCCTGGAAGGAGGAGTGGGCGACTAACTATGCTAAATGCTACTCATAGCTTAAGTTAGATGAGGATCAAGAGTTGACCGTTGTTTTAGCAGGGTGGAAGTTTTCAGTGATCTTAAAGACAGCAGTTACAGAAGGATAGTAGGGAATAAAATAAAGTCTTATTGAAGTGGGTTTGATTCAAACCGGTAGATGGAAATCAGAGAAAGAACATGATGATTCCTTTGAAGGAGTTTAGCTACAGAAGGAAAATACAAATTGTGCCTGTCCCTAGCAGGGAGAAATAATGTCAAGGTTTTCTTGTTTTGTTTTGTTTTGTTTTGTTTTTAAGTTGAGAACAGTAACTGGATGTTTACATGCTGATTAGAGATGGGGCAAGGTAACTCACGCCTGTAACCCCAGCCTTTTGGGAGGCTGAGGCAGGAGGACTGCTTGAGCCCAAGATTTTGAGACCAGCCTGGGCAACATGGCAAGATCCTGTCTCTACAAAAAAAAAAAAAAAAAAGACAAAAATTAGCCAGGGATGGTGGCACACACCTGTAGTCCCAGCTATGTGAGAGGCTGAGGTGGGAGGATTGCATGAGCCCTGGAAGGTGGAGGCTGTAGTGAGCTGTGACCACACCACTGCACTCCCATCTGGGTGACAGAGTGAGACTCGAAAAATATATATATAGCAGAGAGACAAAAATTAAAGTGATGCACTTGTGTGGGGAAAAAAAGAATGGAATCTTATACTCAAGTAGGGAGATCAGCTTTAAAGAAAATCACAAAATTTTCCTATGGTAAGAGGCTAGAAGAAAAAAATACATTGGTACAGATCTAGTCCATTAGTAGTGGAGGTCTGAACATTCCCTTCTAATGGCTTCAGTTTTCTCAGAAGAGACAGAAAAATCATCAGCAGAGAGTAAGGATGACAGAAGTGGGATTGGTGTTTGAGGATACAATAAAATGGTAAAATAGCTATCCATGGAGGAGGGAAAGTGAATGAATGGAGTAGGAAAGTGGAGTATCAGTGGCTACGTGACTCACTAAGAACACATCATAGAGACTTAGCAGTTGTTTAGAATAGAAGTTTGGACTTTCAGTTGTCAAACTAGTTAGTGGTGGGAGTTCTTACTTCCAAATAATTAGAATTGGTCAAACTTGACAACACATAAAAATCAAGAAGACTTTTTCTAAGCTTCAAGTTCACCAATATTAAGAGCAAGCATCCCAGGAATGCATCCTCACAATGTATGTGATCTTCTGCTGACCTACCATCTGAATACGTTAAGAAAACTAATATTTTGTGCATTAAATGATACTCAGTGTCTCAGTTGTATTCATGGACACTTACTGTCCTACTGTTTATGAATAATATATTTCTACTCCTCTGATCATAGAAAAAGAGGAAGTGCTACTTACCCATGTTCTTGTGGGTTTTATCCCTGCTACAACAGACAAGGTTCCTGAACTACAGAACTGTTTGAAAATAGGAAGTAAAACAGATAAAGGAATATTAAGTCTCAACCATTTTCTTCTTGGTCCTCCCTCAATTAGCAGATATCCAGCAATAGTCATACAAACCTCCCTTTTAAATTCACATCCTAGGACACAGAATTGTACTTGATGCTGCTCACTTTATTTATTTATTTATTTATTTATTTATTTATTTATTTAGTCTTTCCATGCAATTAGTTTTATTCATTTTATTTTTTAAATTTTTTTTATTTCCATACGTTATTGGGGAACAGGTGGTGTTCGGTTACATGGATAAGTTCTTTAGTGGTAATTTGTGAGATTTTGGTGCACCCATCACCCAAACAGTATACACTGCACACAATTTGTAGCCTTTTATCCCTCACCTCCTTCCCACCTTTCCCCCTGAGTCCCCAAAGTCCATTGTGTCATTCTTATGCCTTTGCATCCTCATAGCTTAGCTCCCGCTTATAAGTGAGAACATATGATGTTTGATTTTCCACTCCTGAGTTACTTCACTTAGGATAATGGCTTATGCAAGGATTTAATGACGAAGAAGCCAAAAACAAATGCAATAAAATCAAAGATAAATAGCTGGGACCTAATTAAACTAAGGAGCTTTTGCACGGCAAAAGGAACAGTCAGCAGAGTAAACAGACAACCCATAGAGTGGGAGAAAATCTTCACAATCTATACATCTAACAAAGGACTAATATCCAGAATCTGCAATGAACCCAAACAAATCACCAAGAAATAAACAAACAATCCCATCAAAAAATGGGCTAAGGACATGAATAGACAATTCTCAAAAGAAGATATACAAATGGCCAACAAACATATCATTCACTTTTTAAAAATGAACCATCAGGGAAGTAATAAATAATCAAAACTGAATGAATACATTTTAAAATCACCCCTATTTCTTCTGATTGAATGTTGACCCAGATAATGGAAATGATTCTTCTGACTTTCAGACAGTAATCAGCAGACAAATTTCTTAACTCTCAAGCCAGGACTCTCTGCTGTACCACAAGGCAATTCATCAATACCCATTTTTCATTCAATTTTTTAAGTATCTATAAATGTAACATATAGTTATATATAAGATAATTTTTAGGACTTCATTTGTACTTGGCAAATGTGGTTTCTCTTAATCAGAAAGAGATTTTTGGCCTGGCATCAGGGCTCATGCCTGGCAATTCCAGCATTTTGGGAGGCCAAGCTGGGAGGACCACTTGTGGTCAGGAGTTCGAGACCATCCTGGAAAACATGGTGAATCCCTGTCTCTACTAAAAATACAAAAACAAAAATTAGGTGGGCATGGTGGTGCATGCCTGTAATCCCAGCCACTCAGGAGACTGAGGCAAGAGACTCACTTGAACTGGGGAGGCAGAGGGTTTCAGTGGGCAGAGATCATGCCACTGCACTCCAGCCTGGATGGCAGATCGAGACTTTGTCTCAAAAAATAAATTAATTAAGTAATTAATTAAATTAAAAAATAAAAAAGAGTTTATCGTCTCTAATTGTTTATATCAAGAATTGCGAATCAAAACCACAGCATGCAACCTTCCAATAACCTACAAACAATATTTTTGTCATCAAACACATCTCCAGCAGTGGTATCTAAGAAATAACATACAGCCAGGGGAGTACGAATACTCACAAACACAGCACCCCAAATCGGGTAGCCTGTGTAGAAGGTGAAGAAAAAGAAGTGCTTTTGGAAGTGGTATGGGTATTGCAAGGAACCCAGAAAGACACCCAAAGCCAGAATCATTGCTGCATTCAGGATCTGGATGGCCTGAAAGAAGAAAGGGGAAAAAGGCGTAACAGTCATATACTAAAGTGGACACTGAAAACAGGCCATTTTAATTTTCCTCAGAAAGGAGATGTCGGTGCTTGAAATGGTTAAAGTGTCAAGCCTAAATTAACAGAACAAGAGCTTATCTGAAAGAGTTTTTTATTCCACGCTATCCACACCAATTCCAGTGGCAGCATTTCGTCTTCACCTCTCCCCCACATTTCTGTTCATTCTCACGAACTCCTCTCAGAAAGTGGCAGGAGAGTAAAACAGACATGATTGGTAAGGTAGATGGAGTCAAAGTCTCTTCCCAGCATGCTTTTGCATCATAATATGATGAAGGCAGACAGAGGATAAGCCATATCCTACTCAGCCTTTCTCTCAACCCAATTTTTAACCCTTCTCTCAACCCAATTTTTAAATTTAAAATATAGAATATAAGCTTCATAGAGCTCAGCCTCCTCAAATGGCTGGTCAAAAGGCACAAAACAAAAAATGAAGGGTCTTGGAATCTGTTCTCCAAGGTTTGATGTTTTCTACCATGAGAAAATGCCTTTGCATTTCTGCTCCCCAGATCTATAAGAAGTCCCTGTCTTTTCTCCAATCATTATTAAGTCAGTGATAAATAACTCAGAATTTCCTCCTTCTCAGCATAAGCAAGGTTTTCTACATGATACAGTTGGCTCTTGAACAACATTGGGGTTTGGAATGCCCACCCTTTCATGGTGGTAAATCCACGTAAAACTTATGACTTCCCAAAAACTTAACTACTAATAGCCTACTGTTGACCAGAAGTCTTACTATTAATATAAACAGTCGATTATCACATATTTTGTATGTGACATATTATATACAATAAGCTAGAGAAACTAAAAACGTTAAGGAAATCATAAGAAAGAGAAAATGTATTTACTATTCATTAAGTGGAAGTAGATTATCATAAAGGTCTTCATCCTCATCCTCTTCACGTTGAATAGACTGAGGAAGAAGAGGGAGAGCAGGGGTTGTTCTTGCTGTCTCGGGATGGCAAACAGAGGTGGAAGAAATCCACATGTAAGGGAATCCTCACAGTTCAAACGCACGTTATTCACAGGTCAACTGTATTTATTTTCTTCCCTCTTAAATCAGTGTTTAAACTAAGGCTGACTTACCCCAAGAACTTGTAATTTTGCTTTCTGATAATCTGGTGATCCATCTATGGGCTGGTAGACAGAAGTATTCAGCTCTTCTGGTCCCGCCTCACTGCCTGGGGTACCATGGGCAGAGGCTGACCCCAGCTCTGCATTATCAACTTCGTGGGAGGCCATTGGGGTTGTTTATGGCTGTGATAGAAAAGAAATCCAAAGCCTTCATGCTTTCCCTTTTTCCACTAGCTACTAAAATTTTGAGTGTTACAGAAGGGTTCAATTCTGTCCATACATTACAATGACTCTCCACAAATGGGACACCAGGGCAGAGTAACAGAGTTTGTACAATATTCAATTCTGTCTTGCCTTGGAGTAGTAGACATCATCGGGTCATTGTAGTAGGCCTTGGTGCTTCACTTAACTTTGGAATGGTAAAGAGCAATTTCTTTCTCATTTTGCATGCACTGATATATAGTCCCTGCCTTTCTTCAAGTCAGTCAAGGGCAACCAGACATATGGTTTCTCTGAGCAGTGGTCTCTTTATAAGAATAATGGCTTTAGTCACATTCCAGTAATAATAGTAGGTGTCATTTATTTAGTACTTATTACTATATGCCAAGCACTGTCTGGATGCTGTGAATGTATTAATATACTTAATCCTGTTATAATATTATTATTATTCCCGTTTCACAGATGAAAAAAATTGAGGTATAGAGAGACCGAGAAACTTACCCAAACTCATATGGCTTATAAATCATTTCAGATTTTACTAAAAACATTCTACTCTAAGGTCCAATATTTTTCAAATCACCACATTATATAGTACTATATAGAAGACGTCTTTCTGAGTACCAACATAGCATGGTAGAGTTTAAGCACTATGGAAGATCCAAATTCAAATCCAGATTTCATCATTTACTAGTTGCATGACCTAGTAATGGGAACCTCAGTTTTCAGAGTTTAAGCACTATGGAAGATTCCAATTCAAATCCAGATTTCATCACTTACTAGTTGCATGACCTTGTAGTGGGAACCTCAGTTTTCACTTCTGTAAAAATGGGAATAATTTTAATTTTATATTAACATTGCGAGAGTTGACTTTGATAATGTACGGAATTCTCAACCTGTGAACAGGTGGTATCAGCTTTTAACTTATACTCTGCCTTCTAACAAAAAGGACTTCAAGTTTGTATATATATAAGGGTCACAAAACAACCACCTCAATCATTACAGCTGAAAAATATGTATCACTAAAGTACACACAGAATGCTTACATTGGACTTCTGAATGTTGGGCAAGATAACTTCCTAATTCATAGTACCCTCCTACACAAAATAGTTGTAAAATGCTTATATGCTTTTATAACTGATGAGGGAGATGGCATGAGATGAACCATAAACAAACACATAAAATGATGCTGTATTCTGCCATAACTATCGATTGGGTTAAGAATAAGATCTTAATATAAATCATTCTACCATAAAACACATGCACGTGAATGTTCATTGCAGCACTATTCACAATAGCAAAGACATAGAATCAACCTAAATGTCCATCATTTGTAGACTGGATGAAGAAAATGTGGTACATACACACTGTGGAATACTATGCAGCCATAAAAAGGAATGAGATCATGTCTTTTGCAGGAACATGGATGAAGTAGAAGCCATTATCCTTAGAAAGCTAATACAGGAACAGAAAACCAAATACCACATATTCTCACTTATAAGTGGGAGCTAAATGCTAAGAACAAATGGACACATAGAGGGGAACAAAACAACTGGAGATTATCAGAGAGAGGAGGGAGGAGATCGGGAAAAATAACTATTGAGTACTAGGCTTAGTACCTGGGTGACAATCTGCACAACACACCCCTGTGGCACGAATTTACCTATATAACGAACCTGTACATGTACCCGTAAACCTAAAATAAAAGCTTTTTATTGAAAAAGAAAGTATAGTATCTTAATTTCTACTCTTTGTTACAAATTATATACTAGATCCATTTTTCTAATAACTTAATTTTTTGTCAAGCTAAATACACGCCACTTTCAGGATGTTTACCTTTCTGATACTCTACTCTGGGGGTGTGTATGACTCATTTAAGTGTGATGACAAATTTACTAAGCATTGACTTAAAGTGAGAGTCAAGCCATGTTTTATTATTACACTGGGAATTGCTATAAAAATTCATAAAATTCTCTACCAATACTGATAAAACATTTATTATAAATGTCATAAAATTTTGCTACCAATACTCTTCATCAAAGTTTCCTACCAATATTGATTTTCATGCCAAGATTAAATTACATTCTGTATGTATTTAAGTATGGATAAATGTGAAATGACAAGGAACCCTTAACCCCCCGTGTTCAACACTGTACAGAACCCAAGAGCGAGGGAAGATCAATAAAGCTTAAAGCAAACTCTATGTGAATGAGTTCCTAACGTAATTATCTGCAAAAAGTATAAATAAGAATAGCCAAAAAGCCAAGACTTCAAATTTATCCACTGGGAAATTTGTGTGTATTTTGGATTAAATATCTAATGAACTAAGATGCATGCAATACGGAGAATGTTGCTGCTTTATGACCAGATAATCTCTCGCCTACGTCTCCTGCCTCACCCCTCACCCATCCCTATCTCAAAACTCCATCCAGCCTTATTTTCTTGATTTGTCTTCCTTCAGAAGTTCTAAGCCCTCAAATGTCTTCAATCCTCTGTGCTATCCCCCATTCCTGAAAGACAAGTCCCCTCAAGCTTCACCTGGATAATTTCTGCTCTCCTTCCAGACTGAATTTTTTTTTTTTTTTTTTTTTTTTTTTTTTTTTTTTTTTTGAGTTGGAGCTTTGCTCTGTCTCCCAGGCTGGAGTGCAGAGGCCCGATCTCAGCTCACTGCAACCTCCGCCTCCTGGGCTCAAGCTATGATCCTGCCTCAGCCTCCCAAGTAGCTGGGATTACAGGCGTGCACCACCACACCCAGCTAATTTTTGTACTTTTAGTAGAGATGGGGTTTTACCATGTTGGCCAGGCTGGTCTCGAACTCTTGACCTAGGTGATCCACCCACCTCAGCCTCCCAAAGTGCTGGGATTACAGGCGTGAGTCAATGCGCCCGGCCCTTCCAGACTGATTTTCAGCCCACATGTCATACTTCCAGGATGCTGTTTTTAGTCCTGGCCAACTCTGGAAGAAGCATGCACCCCTTTGGGTTGCTCTCAAAATTTCCTCAACTTTCCTTCTCATACCACTTAATCAGCCTGAGCTTTAATTGCCTGGATACTTGTCTGTTACCTCGTTGTCTACTCATCACTGCAACTCCAGTGCCTAGCTCAGAATCATCAGATGGCAAGCACTCAGTTAACACACATGTTCAATCAGTAACCAGACTTTTGGTCCAGCCCAAGGTAGCCATCCTGATAAATGATGATGGAAAATACCTCTGCAAGCACTGGAGCCTCTCATCTCAAGAAACTCCAAGAGCATTTCTGAAGAGAGCAAATATCTAACCATATTATTTAACTTGATTTGTTTCAAATAATCAAAATAATCAGGGAGAATTTTCAGCCTCCAGGTGAAACAAACTATGTTTTCTAAAATTTGGTTAAATCAGTTATTTATTTTTAAAAAAATCAGAGAAATGGTCCGGGTGCAGTGGCTCATGCCTGTAATCCCAGCACTTTGGGAGGCAGAGGCGGGAGGATCTCGAGGTCAGGAGATTGAGATCATCCTTGCTAACATGGTGAAACCCTGTTTCTACTAAAAACACATAAAATTAGCTGGTTGTGACAGCACGCGCCTGTAATCCCAGCTACTCAGGAGGCTGAGGCAGGAGAATTGTTTGAACCCATGAGGCGGAGTTTGCAGTGAGCCGAAATCGTGCCATTGCACTCCAGCCTGGGTGACAGAGCGAGACTCTGTCTCTCTCTCACACACACACACACACACAAAATCAGAGAAATGTAGATTTTCTAGGAAACTGCCAGTTAAGTTCATCTCTCCAGCTCTTAGTATGTGGCAGGCATTTGTTCTAAGGGCTTTATCCATGTTTACTAATTTAGTTCTCACAACATCAGATGAATGGGTACTACTGCTATGATCCTTTCCATCTAACAGATGAAGAAGCTGAGGAACAAAGAAGTTAAGTAGCTTTCCCAAGCCCACACAGCCAGCAATTTGAGAAGCTAAAAATCAGAACCTCAAGCTATCATTACACTCCACTGTCCCCTGAGCTATGCTAAAATGCACTTTGCAGACCCCATACTTCAGGCATATCGAGACCACCCCTCATTATCAGAGCTGGCAGACAAACTCAGGTGCAGCCAGTGGGATTTAATGTACCTAAGAGGTGCGTGTGCATGTGTGTGTATCCATACCCACATTTTCCCAAAGAAATTGCTGTATTATTATGTCTAACACTTTTTATCATGGCTCCAAAGGAATCATCACATCCTAAAGAGAAGCCATGTTCACAGTTAAATGTTCCAAACCTCTACATAGCAACCAAACAGAGACCTTTGCAGACATCCCCAGTAGTCCACTGGGAGGCATTTTAACGAAAGATATAAAAGAAAGGGGAATGTCTATGGAGAGGGAATCTATACCTTGGAGGCTTCAGGCTTTGGCAGACGGCTTTCCTCCCAAGTCCACCTTGTCGCAAGTAGGAGACACTCAGAAAAGATCACTACAGCATCTTTTCCCGATAACGGAAGCCTCCACAGACTTAACGTTATCTTTGCCTTATGCAACACTTTAGAGGACTTGGTGAAAGTGTTTTGCGGGCTGACTGACCAGTGTGCTAATCACATCTGCATTTGGGGCCTCGCTGATCCATTGTGTTTCCCCAGGGCTTAGTGATGATTAGGAAACTGGTGTGAGGGATAACTGTCTTCTGGCTTTCAGATGTTGCTTAACACATTGCTGGAACAGGAAACACAAGCAACAATATGGGTAGACAAGTGGGAAGAGGTTGTGGGTTGGAGGTAGAACAGTGTTAGGTGCATAGCAAGAAGAGACAAAGTCACACTGTAAGAGAAGCATCTGGAGGAGGGAGGTGGTCACTCAGGCACTTATTTTACATGATGTGCCAGCAACGGTGCTATGTACCTTATATGCGTGATGACATTCAATTCTTACATGCTTAGAGAGGTTAATTACTTTGCCCAATATCACAGATATAATAATAATGCTAATTATTGTTTAAATGTATTAAATGGTTACTACATACAGGTCATTGTTCTGAATGCTTTACATATGTTAATTCATCTCATCCTCACAATAACCCAGGACCCAGGTACTACTATTAACCCGATGTTATGGTAGAGAAAACTATGGTATAGAAATGTTACCCAGCTTTTCTAAAATTTAACTGGAAAAGCCCTGTGCAAAATCTCTGTTTTGTACAATGGTGAAGCCCGAAGTGTGCCTGTTATCCTAATATGATTGTTAAAACCCCTCCTTTCAGTTTCTTTTTTGTTTTTTGGTTTTTTTAGGTTTTTTGTATTTGTTTGTTTGTTTCGTTTGTTTATTGAGATGGCGTCTCACTCTGTCATCCAGGCTGGAATGCAATGGTGCAATCTTGGCTTACTGCAACCTCCGCCTCCCGGGTTCAAGCAATTCTCCTGTTCCAGCCTCCTGAATAGCTGCAACTACAGGCATGCACCACCACTCCCAGCTAATTTTTGTATTTTTAGTAGAGACAGGGTTTCACCGTATTGGTCATGCTGGTCTCGAACTCCTGACCTCCGGTGATTCACCTGCCTCAGCCTCCCAAAGTGCTGGGATTACAGGCATGAGCCATCGCGCCCGGCCTCCTTTCAGTTTCAAAAGTGGCCAAATTATATGCTTATCCTAAATAAATGTCCTAAAATAGGCAATAGAAAGATCAGAGCCAAGTGACAAGGAGTAAGGAAGTAGGTAACGTGAAGATTCAAACCACAATCCTTATGAAGGTCACAGGGCCAGGCCTGAGAGAAAGAATGAGGGCACAGCCCCTGATCCATGCCCCAGGGGAGTCTGTGAGACAGAGAAGAATGTTCACAGCAAGGAAAGCGAGGTCCTAGTCCTACAAACAGGAGCGTCAGTGGGGACGTGATCACAGGAAAGAGAAAGAGGGCCAGTTACCAAGACCAAAACATAGTGTGTGGGCAGAGATTGTGAATATGAAATGAGCAGGGGCCCAGTTGCCAGAAAATTTCTGCACAGGTGCTTCTGCTAAGAGAGCTGGCACCTGAGCCCTAGGGCAGCGGCTCTCCAGGGTCTACATTTAGGAGCGAAGGAAGGGACTGATGAAAGAGAAGACAGAGACAGAGACAGAAGTCAGAAGGAAATAGCCAAAAGGAAGGTGGTAAAGATAAGATCCTTCCCTCCCCGTTTTATCCAGAACCATTGCAAATGGAATACTGAAGAAGAAAGAGATGACAAGAAAATGCCTTCAGCGAAGAAGAGAAAGAAATCTGAAGAAATGAAAGGAAAGAGTGGATGCTTTCAACATGCTCTTTTTGAATTTGGAGCTGTAGAAAAAGCCATGAAAGGAAGTTACTTAAACTCTAAGACTTCGGTTCTCCCATTTGTAAGTTGAAGATCATAGTGCCCACTTTGGGGTATAAAGTATAAATGACAGAATGCATGTAAAGGTCTTAATAACTAAGATCTTCACATGAGTTCAAAGTAAATAATAAAAATGATTGAGCTCTTTCTTCAATTCCTTAGAGAATGATTGTGAGAAACTGCTTTCAAAGGAAGATTCACAAATAAAAATTTAATATACTTACCATGTACAACATGTTTTGACACATGTGTGCATTGTGAAGTCACTAACACAAAGCAGATAATCTACTGATCACATCAGATCACATAATCATCTTTTTTTTTTTTTGGTGGTGGTGGTGAGAACATTTAAGATCTCCTCTCTTAACAAACTTCAAGTACATAGTACAGTATTAACTTCAGTTATCATGCTGTTCATTAGATCTGCAGAACATATGTATCTGACTGTACCTCATTAAAGCTGAGGGGGGAACAGTAAAATAAATACATAAAAATTATTTTTATTTTTTATGTATTTATTTGAGACAGAGTCTCACTCTGTCACCAGGCTGGAGTGCAGTGGCGCGATCTCAGCTCACTGCAAGCTCCGCCTCCGGGTTCAAGCAATTCTCCTGCCTCAGACTCCCGAGTAGCTGGGACTACAGGCACACACCACAACGCCCAGCTAATTTTTGTATTTTCAGTAGAGATGGGGTTTCACCACGTTGGGCAGGATTGTCTCGATCTCTTGACCTCGTGATCCACCTGCCTCGGCCTCCCAAAGTGCTGGGATTACAGGCATGAGCCACCACGCCCGGCCCCCTATTTTTTCCATTTTTGTAAGTACCTAGTGTATATACTTATGAGGTACATGAGACGTTTTGATACAGGCATGAAATGCATAATACTCACATCATGAAGAATGGGGTATCCATCCCCTTAAGCAGTTATCCATTGCATTGCAAACAATCCAATTACACTCTTTATCTTAAAAATGTACAGTTATTGACTACAGTCACCCTGTTTTGCTATCAAATAGTGGGTCTTATTTATTCTATTTTTTTGTACCCATTAACCATCCCCACCTCCCCTCCCAGGCCCCCACTACCCTTCCCAGCCTCTGGTAACCATCCTTCTACTTTCTGTCTTCATGAGTTCAATTGTTTTGGTTTTTAGATCCCACAAGTGAGAACATGTGATGTTTGTTTTTCTGTGCCTGGCTTATTGCACTTGACAGAATGATCTCCAGTTCCATTCATGTTGTTGCAAATGACTGGATCTTATTCTTTTTTATGGCTGATAAATAAAAATAAATAAATTAAAAAATTTTTTAAACAAATTAAAAAGGGAAAAATAGAAGATTCATAGACCTTTTTTCCACTTGCATGCAATATTTCCCAATGGCAAGGAGACATGATCAAGGAGAGACTGACTAGCTTTCAGTGCTGAAATACCTTAAAGAATAATCAAGTTCAAAACTCAAGTAGCAAATTTCCAAAAGGAAAAGGAAATCTTCGAGTGAATTCACCTATAGTCTAGCTATTCATTTACAAGTGCCCCATTTGACTAAAAAGCAATATATTTCTCAAGACTTGCTGGTCTTATCTACTTACTAAATATTATTGCTTGCACTGTCTGTTTTACCCCCCCATACACACTCATGCCCATGTGTGTACATATTAAAATCACATTCTTCATGAAGCAGTACCTTTATATATCTTAACACATGTATAAGCTCTTAAAACACTTAACCACCTAAGGTTTTTGACTTTGGGGTGCATTAAACGTGTTTAATTCATAATTTACCAGTTTATAATGTTGCAAAAGTCACAAGTTGAAATCACGTTGAAATGGCATTAGTTACTATAATTGTAAGATTAATAAAAGATTAAGACGGACAAGGATTGTTGTTCCAAGAGGTCTTGAAATAATGAGCCATCAAATAAAATAAAACCAACAATCAGAAACTATCTTTGATTCATTCTTGTTTTGACCTCATGCTGTGTTTTCAAATAAACGAGGAAAATGGACTAGAAATCCAATCTTAGCATTTGAATGAAGGCACTGTTGTTTTAGAGGTCCTAAGAAAACTGGAAGAATTTATCATGTCATTTATTGGTAAACATGGAAATAGCCTAGATAGAAAATGCTAATACAACAGTTCTACTTTCAACTACCTAGTGGAATCTTCTGGGAAGTTTATAAGACATTAAATCAGGATATTTGTCATGAACCCAACATGAAGGTGAACTTTTTTTTTTTTTTTTTTGAGACAGTCTTACTCTGTTGCCCAGGCTGGAGTGCCATGGCACAATCTCGGCTCACTGCAGCCTCTGCCTCCCAGGTTCAGGCGATTCTTGTGCCTCAGCCTCCTGAGTAGGTGGGATTACAGGGGCACACCACCATGCCCAGTTAATTTTTCTATTTTTTTTAGTAGAGACAGGGTTTCACCATGTTGACCAGGCTGGTCTTGAACTCCTGGCCTCAAGTAATCCACGCGCCTCAAACTCCCAAGGTGCTAGGATTACAGGCATGAGCCACTGCACTCAGCCCAACACAAACATTTTTTAAAGGTCCCAAGGTAACGCTAATGTGAAGCCAGATTGTAGAACTACTGGGTATGTCTAAAAGACCTTTATAACGAGATAGTTGGAAATAAGATAGGAAAAAACAAATGCATTTCTCTAAGAAAGATCACCTCTTCTACTAGGGTGGCCTATGTACTTTATTTTAGGGTGTAAAATTGTATCTTAGTTTGGAGTTAAACAGATTTCATTTTTGACAGCCATTTTAATGGGATTTCATCCTGATAAGTACATTTTCTATAGTGCAAGATGGGCTTCATGTGAAATATTACAGCTCTTTAATCTTCTTTTGCCTTGATTTGCATTCTCCTCACGAAAGGTAACCATTGAGTTCTACATGAACACATTCTTTTTTTTTTTTTATGGCAAGAGAGACTTTATTTTTATTTTATTATTATTATACTTTAAGTTTTAGGGTACATGTGCACAATGTGCAGATTAGTTACATATGTATACATGTGCCATGCTGGTGTGCTGCACCCATTAACTCGTCATTTAGCATTAGGTATATCTCCTAATGCTATCCCTCCCCCCTCCCCCCACCCCACAACAGTCCCCAGAGTGTGAAGTTCCCCTTCCTGTGTCCATGTGTTCTCATTGTTCCATTCCCACCTATGAGTGAGAATATGCGGTGTTTGGTTTTTTGTTCTTGCAATAGTTTACTGAGAATGATGATTTCCAATTTCATCCATGTCCCTACAAAGGACATGAACTCATCATTTTTTATGGCTGCATAGTATTCCATGGTGTATATGTGCCACATTTTCTTAATCCAGTCTATCATTGTTGGACATTTGGGTTGGTTCCAAGTCTTTGCTATTGTGAATAGTGCCACAATAAACATACGTATGCATGTGTCTTTATAGCAGCATGATTTATAGTCCTTTGGGTATATACCCAGTAATGGGATGGCTGGGTCAAATGGTATTTCTAGTTCTAGATCCCTGAGGAATCGCCACACTGACTTCCACAATGGTTGAACTAGTTTACAGTCCCACCAACAGTGTAAAAGTGTTCCTATTTCTCCACATCCTCTCCAGCACCTGTTGTTTCCTGACTTTTTAATGATTGCCATTCTAACTGGTGTGAGATGGTATCTCATTGTGGTTTTGATTTGCATTTCTCTGATGGCCAGTGATGGTGAGCATTTTTTCATGTGTTTTTTGGCTGCATAAATGTCTTCTTTTAAGAAGTGTCTGTTCATGTCCTTCGCCCACTTTTTGACGGGGTTTTTTTTTCTTGTAAATTTGATATAACCAAAGACAAAAACCACATGATTATCTCAACAGATGCAGAAAAGGCCTTTGACAAAATTCAACAACCTTCATGCTAAAATCTCTCAATAAATTAGGTATTGATGGGACATATCTCAAAATAATAAGAGCTATCTATGACATACCCACAGCCAATATCTTACTGAATGGGCAAAAATTGGAAGCATTCCCTTTGAAAACTGGCACAAGACAGGGATGCCCTCTCTCACCACTCCTATTCAACATAGTGTTGGAAGTTCTGGCCAGGGCAATTAGGCAGGAGAAGGACATAAAGGGTATTCAATTAGGAAAAGAGGAAGTCAAATTGTCCCTGTTTGCAGATGACATGATTGTATATCTAGAAAACCCTGTTGACTCAGCCCAAAATCTCCTTAAGCTGATAAGCAACTTCAGCAAAGTCTCAGGATACAAAATCAATGTACAAAAATCACAAGCATTCTTATACACCAATAACAGACAAACAGAGAGCCAAATCATGAGTGAACTCCCATTCACAATTGCTTCAAAGAGAATAAAATACCTAGGAATCCAACTTACAAGGGACGTGAAGGACCTCTTCAAGGAGAACTACAAACCACTGCTCAATGAAATAAAAGAGGATACAAACAAATGGAAGAACATTCCATGCTCATGGGTAGGAAGAATCAATATCGTGAAAATGGCCATACTGCCCAAGGTAATTTATAGATTCAATGCCATCCCCATCAAGTTATCAATGACTTTCTTCACAGAATTGGAAAAAACTACTTTAAAGTTCATATGGCACCAAAAAAGAGCTTGCATCACCAAGTCAATCCTAAGCCAAAAGAACAAAGCTGGAGGCATCATGCTACCTGACTTCAAACTATACTACAAGGCTACAGTAACCAAAACAGCATGGTACTGGTACCAAAACAGAGATATAGATCAATGGAACAGAACAGAGCCCTCAGAAATAACGCCGCATATCTACAACTATCTGATCTTTGACAAACCTGAGAAAAACAAGCAATGGGGAAAGGATTCCCTATTTAATAAATGGTGCTGGGGAAAGTGGCTAGCCATATGTAGAAAGCTGAAACTGGATCCCTTCCTTACACCTTATACAAAAATTAATTCAAGATGGATTAAAGACTTAAACGTTAGACCTAAAACCATAAAAACCCTAGAAGAAAACCTAGGCATTACCATTCAGGACATAGGCATGGGCAAGGACTTCATGACTAAAACACCAAAAGCAATGGCAACAAAAGCCAAAATTGACAAATGGGATCTCATTAAACTAAAGAGCTTCTGCACAGCAAAAGAAACTACCGTCAGAGTGAACAGGCAACCTACAAAATGGGAGAAAATTTTCACAACCTACTCATCTGACAAAGGGCTAATATCCAGAATCTACAATGAACTCAAACAAATTTACAAGGAAAAACATTCTTAAGATACCTAAATGCCATTGTGTTATATATATCATGGTCCTCTTTTTCACTCAGCTCTGTTAGTAATACCCAATGTTTGTTTGTTTGTTTGTTTGTTTGTTTGAGAGAAGTCTTACTCTGTCACCCAGGCTGAAGTGCAGTGGCATGATCTAGGCTCACTGCAACCTCTGCCTCCCAGGTTCAAGTGATTCTCCTGCCTCAGTCTCCCAAATACTTGGGATTCCAGGCACGCATCACCACACCCCACTAATTTTTGTATTTTTAGTAGAGACAGGGGTTTCACCATGTTGGCCAGGCTGGTCTCGAACTCCTGACCTCAAGTGATCCACCCACCTCCGCCTCCCAGAGTGCTGGGATTACAGGCCTGAGCCACTGTGAGTGTGCAGTCTGCTGTATCCAAATACTGCACTGACATCCACTATGTTTTACCTAACCACCACCCATAAATGAACACACAGGGATTGTAGCTTGATATCAGGAACCTTCTCATACCCATGTTCCTTAATTCTGTGTGAGGATTTCTTTGCAATGTATAATCAAAATCCTAATTGCTGGGCCATAGGATGTGCACATAATTAACTTGACTGAGGACTGCCAGGTAGTAAACTCTAGAATGTCTGCACCTCTATGTGCACACATACAGTGCATGTAGCACTCAATATTCCCACTTACTGCCACCCATGGCACCATTCAACTCCATTTCTTACCAGCCTAAAAGTATTTCTGGGTAAATTTAGCTAAGCTGTAACTACATTTACTAGAATTATCTTTCCTGAACAGTCTTTGGGTTGGTCATATAAGAAATTTGTGTGGGATTTGGAAGGTAGAAAGTAAGACAGTAGCCATGGTGCACCAAAATGGGTTTAGGGTGCAGGTTACACATTTTGTCTCTGGTCCTCTGGCTCACCTCCCTAGTACCGGACTATAGCTGGGCCTATAATTTCTTCTGCTCTCACCAAATCTCCTTTAGCATCTCTGAGTCTTGCACCAAGTGCTTGCACAACTCCATGGCAATGGATGCCAGGTCATCCTTGTGATTAAGGTTGGAGATGAGAGGAAGATGTGGTTCCAATGTGTTCTTTTGCTTCCATGCTTCAAGGTCGCTTAATTACTGTACAAAACACATAACATAAAATGTACCATCTTAACCATTTTTTCAAGTCCAGCTTGTTTTCCAGGTTGCCAGCCCTGCTGACCTACAAGCAACATCAGGCTCACCATCAGATGCAAAAGTAACAGCCTTCCCAGTTCTCAAAATTAATTACGATCAATCCCTTATCAATATCACTCAGTCTGGTTCTGCTTACCTGATTGAACCCTAACTGCTACAAGGTATAAGTATTATATCATGACTCTTTTCTGGTTTTCGCTTCTCTATTAGCTTTTTGGACTTGTTTTCCTTTGAGTCATCGGTAGATTTGTTTGATTAGAACAGTATAACATACATTTCACTGAAACCAGCTTTCAGTTTTAAAATGCCTTTTCAACCTTCTCTGAAGAAGAACAGTAGATGCTAAGGAATTCTAGGGTTTTCACAGAATATAGAATCCCCTGCCCTCAGGATTACTCCTTAATTTTAGGAATGACTTTAAAATATCATTAATTTTACTTCTATTCCATTCAACATTTTAAATATATAGTTTCACATATTAAAGATCATATAACCTTTTGAAATTCTGACTATTTTGCAAGCGTCAGAGGAATACCGGATCTTTATCAAAATAATCCATCTCTTTTTTATGATGTGAGGCTTTTGCTAGCCCTACATCTTCCTAAATTTATATCCAGACTAGAAATAGAAATTGATGTATTTGTGTATCCTAATTAGTCCCAAATATTGATTGAAGATGAATCTGCAGACGTAGTAGGGGAGAGGAAGCCCTGTAGTCACTCACTTGTGGGTCCCACGTAGACCCGGAGTTACTTCTTGTGCTTTCCTCCTGGGTAAGAAGTCCACGTCTAAGACCCAGGTGCTTTTCTAAAGAGAAGCCCACATGGCTGTCATACCTTCCTGCGTTTGTGTCCCCACTGTCCGTGAAGACAGATCTCATTCCCAGTGGGCCTAGGTCTGTGCAGAGACTCATACTGACTCAGCTTTTTGCAGCATATCTTCCTTCACCTTTGTTCCTGGAATGAAGACTCTAACTCCATCGCGTCACTAAAACATGATTCTAAAGCAAGAATTTCTATTCTAACCTGTCACCTTCTCCACTTCTGAAGAAAAACAGGGATATATTTTCAAGAAAAAATAAATCAGCATTTAAATATATGAAATACACTAACTCTTTGATGATTTTTAATCATACCAGGTCTAGCTTTGCCTTCTGCAAAACTGAAAACAAAGTGTCTGTTGTTTGTGTGAAATATATTGGGTTTTATAAGCATTCTTGATGAATTCATCCCTGCATAACTTACATGTAATGAAAGAGAATGAACATATACACATAGAAAGTCTCACCAGGCTACCAGCCATGAAGTCACAAACAGAGTACTTAACAATAGAGACACTGGTTATTTTATCATTTGCATCTTTGATTTCTAATAAGGACCGGTAATCATGTAAGCAACACCTCAACCAAAATGACAATGATTTTGAGACTGAAATCTTTGCATGTGATAAATAAACATTTGTTTTTTTAAGACACTGATATTTGAGGTCATGTTATTGTAGCAGAACCTAATCAGTACTGCCTGATGCAGGTAAAGAAACAAATTTATACTGCTTTATACAACTGGCAGTTTGAGACCTGAAATAATTTGAAATCTGAATTAAGTCACTCCTAGGTTTCAGTTGTTCTAATAACGGTCATTGCCCTAAACTACTATTCAAGAACAGTGTGGTGATTATAACTCCCCCAAATCACTTAAACACACACACACACACACACAGAGAGAGAGACAAGTTTTTGTGGGCAAATGGAGGACGGGTCAGAGATGGGAAAACAAAGGACTTGCTCAAATATTTAAATTAATTATAGAAATAGAGATGATTCAAATGTTTACCTACTTTTATACATTAGAATGAGAGAGTAAATACCGTTTAGTAGAATTCAGTCAAGAAAAATAGATCCTACAATCCTATTGCACCCCTTGCTTTCATTTTCTCAAATGCCAGTCAAGGTGGTCCTTGACTAATTATCCAGTTAATTATTACTTTGACAGTTCAGACTTATCGTGGGAAAAATGTCCTATCCTCAATCTTTCCAATTTTAGTAAATATTATTACTGTCCACACAATTGCCTAGACCAGACATCTGGTTGTCAGGCTCGATTTTCACTAATTTCTTACCTCACTTTAAATCCATTTGGAAATATTTTACAAAATACATAGAAAATGAGCCCACATATTTTTCCGTCTTCACTGCCACAAACTCAGGCTATGACAACATCATCATTTGCCTTAATTTTTATAAAACTCTTACATGCGCTCCTGGCTACTGCTCTCATCCATTTTTCACAGGGTAATAAAGAGTGATTTTATAATATAAATCAGATCCTGTCACTCCTCTGCTTACAGTGTCTGCAGTGACTTCTTATCTCTCCAAGATAACTGTATGTTGCTGCTGGTAGCCTGATGGGTTCCCCATTATGTTTTTATGGGCATGGGCATTGTTTCTTCTTTTGGTAAATGATTGAATAAGAAATTCACTAAAGATAATATGTAAAATCCAGTATAATTCTCATGATCAGCAGATTTTTTTTAGTTTTTGTGGAGGCAAAGCTTGACTTTGTATAATTAAAAGCTACCAAAGAGTTAGCAGTAATGTATATGTTTAACTTGAATTATTTTTGTCTTAAATATATAATATTCCCTGGTTTACTTAGGAGGAAAAGAGAGAAGCTAAATTGAGCTTTGATTCAACCACATAAAATAAGCACTCTCAAATGTTTTAAACTAATATGTACAGATGTAATAGAAATAACTGAATCCATCACAATTAAAGAAGGTAGGAGAATTTGCGAAATGAAGAATGGAACTATATTTATTCTGGCTTTTTTTTTTTTTTTTGAGATGGAGTTTCGCTTGTCACCCAGACTGGAATGCAATGGCAGGATCTTGGCTCACTACAACCTCCGCCCCCTGGATATAAGCGATTCTCCTGCCTTTGCCTCCTGAGTAGCTGGGATTACAGGTGCCCACCACCATGCCCGGCTAATTTTTGTATTTTTAGTAGAGTCGGGGTTTCACCATGTTAGCCAGATGGGTCTTAAACTCCTGACCTCAGGGTGATCCACCCGCCTCAGCTTCCCAAAGTGCTGGGATTACAGGCATGAGCCACCGCGCCTGGCCTGGCTTCATTCTTAAACGTTTATGTGAATTTAAGACAAATTACTTCCTCTTTCTGAGCCTAACTGGCATCACCTACAAAACGAAATGGCAGGATTTTCTCCTTTTTAAGGGCTAAATAGTATTCCTTGTGTATGTACACCACATTTTGTTTGTTGCTGGATGCTTGGGTTGACTCCATATCTTGGCCATTACAAAGAGTGCTGCAGTGGACATGGGAGAACAGATATCTCTTTGACATACTGATTTCATTTCCTTTAGATATATACCCAGTTATGAGATTGCTGGAGCATATGGTAGTTCTATTTTTAATTTTTTGAGGAACCTCCATAAAGTTTTCCATAGTGGTTGTACTAACTTACGTTCCCACCAGCAGTATGTAAGGATTCCTTCTTTTCTACATCCTTGCCAACACTTATCTTTTGATTTTTTATAGTAGCTATCTGACTAGAGTGAAGTACCACATGATCTCACTCATATGTGGAATAAGTAGAATAGTGGTTACCAGAAGATGAGGGGCGGGGAGGGGAGGGGAGAGGAGGAGGAGGGATGCTGAGGGATTGGTCAACAAAGCTAAAGTTAGGAGGAATAAGTTCTGGTGTTTTATTGCATAGTAGGATGATGAAAGTTAAGAATAATGTATTGCATATTTCAAAATGGCTAGAAGAGAGGTTTTTGAATGTTCTCATTAAAAGAAATAATGTGTAAGGTGACAGATATGCTAAGTACTCATTACGTGATTTATATATGTATTGAAACATCACTGATAGATACTATTATGTGTAAATCATAATTTTTTTAAAAAAGAAAAAAATGAAGAGGCTTTAGAGCCACCCTTCTAAAATCCAGCCACATCACTCTTTATCTTGTACATACGTATTATCTCACACTCAATAATTTACTTTGTTTTCAGCAACCATTCACCTGCCCAATATTCTCTCAAATCGGTTTATATAAAATAATTTTACTTCTATATTCAAGAGAAACACTATTGCTCAACTTTAAGTTTTATTGAGAGTTGTATAACTGCTTGAATAGCAATTGTTTTCTAGAGAACTAAAGTTCAGCAACTTAAGATGATTCCAAGCAGTAGAGTATAGTGGCTAATATACAAAGAGAGAGTATAGAGACAGATCTAAAGGCAGATTGCCCTATTTTAAATCTTGAACCAACACCAACAAGTTATGTGACTCAGGCAAATGATTTAACCTCTGTTTGCTTATCTGTAAAATTGGGATAATCATGATATATTTCACTCTTTAAGAAGATTAAATAATTTATCGCAATGTACTTGTACCATATTCTGACCCTTAGGAAGTCCCATAGAAGTATTACCTCTTAGCTGCATGTTAACTGGTAAAGACAGATGTTCACTATGACAGGGTCAAATTCTTTATCTGACAAGTTAACAGCTACAGACAGCATTTAATTGAAAATGGAATAGTATCACTTTAATTAAAAATAATAATAAACAGTATCTTGGCAAAATTTGCTTCCAGGAGGATGTGGCATCCAAAACATACATTCAATAAGCTATTGAATAGCCAATGGCACAGTTCAATTCTCACCCTTGATATAAGAAATCTACCAAATCAGAAGTATTTTTTGATATATTACATATTTAGACTCCATGTTTAAAGAAAGGAAGATAGTATAAAGTAGGTGGTAATAAATAATCATTTAATGAATGCTCTTAGGTGGCAGGATAACTCTTTGCTTAACCAACTCAACCATTCAATTATTTTGAGTGTGGAAGAACCATTCGGAGGAACAAGGGAAACCTAACATCAAATTTCAGTTAAAGTAGTGGTTACTTGAGCTCTAGAAAATAAATTGAATTTAATTCTGGAATAATCTAAATAGGTTGTCACATGGCATTATTGTTAGGATTCAACTTTACTGATTAATAGGAAAATCTACATGAATTAAAGTATCTGCACATAAAAGGATTTTGCCTTTCGTGAGAGTTAATATGTTAAATTTTACACTATGCTCAAAGTTTTGCCTCTTGCACATTTATATGTCTCTCTCTATTCTTTATTCTTCCTGAAAAATATTAGAACATATTTATTGGAGGTTCTTATCAATTAGATCAAGTCATTGTCTTTGAAGACATATTTCTGAATCTTCTACACAGAACAGAAAGAACTTAAATGTATAATATGAATTACCTAATAGTTAATGTTAAATTAATCAGCCATACCCCTACTGAATACAAATATTTAGAAATACACATTCACTAATCAACTAATCAGGACCTTTACTGAAGTAGGGTTTTTAGAAACCAGAGACTTAAGGAGAGATATACACCAACTATATTTTTGCTATGAAAAAATGAAACTGTTTTCCTGCAAAATACATAACACCAGCTTCAAGTTTCCATTTCTCCTTTAGCTCAGAGCAAGTTTGGACTAGAAGATAATAATCCTAACTCTTCTGCTGTTGTCTGAAAGTCAGCAATAAAAGGACTAGGATCCAATTTTATTTCATTCTCAGTAGAAACTGGTGTAAGCCACACTGATTTCCTAAAGAAAAGGGAAACAGAAAGCAGATAGTGTTGGAGCACTTGGGATCAAGTCAGTTTTACCACTGTTTAATATCATGATCATATACAGAATAGTCATTCAGGAGTATGGCATAGAGCCAGCATACTACGCCTTCTAGATCCTCGTGGACTCTTGGTACAGGATTTGAGCAGATAGGCTTACAGAAGAACTAATTCCAGATAGTCTCCCCATGATTTCTGCATCAAACACTGAGTAGAAAGATGAATGGTCTTAGATAATTTGTGATGCTTGCATTAGAAGAGTACCAATGTACCCAGCAAAACAGACTCAGCCAAATGGATCCTAAGAACAGTAAGAAAAAGCCACCAAAAGCTTAATCTGTCCCACTGTAGTGGCAGCAAAGTTCTATATGTCAATGTGAGTAAGTGAATATGAGAGAGAGAGACTACAACATTAAAATTCATGCACCCAAAACCTAAACAGACAACTTTGTTGGCCAAGTCTTCATTTTTTTTTAAGGAAAGTAGGCTTCAAGCAACATAGTAGTTACTATCAAAATAGGAATATCTATTTATCATGATTACTCTGGCAGCCTACGGAAAGGCAGTAGTTCTGAGGCATTAGATCAGAACTCTGTGTTGCTCCAAGCTTTGGGTAGTTCATAGAATTGAAAACATATGTATGTGTGTGAAAGGTAGACAGAGACAAAGAGATGGAGATGGAGAGAGACAGGGAGAAAGACAGAGAGAGAGACAGAGAGAGAGAGAGAGACAGAGAAACCGAGAGAGAGGCAGAGCGAGAGACAGAGAGACCAGAGAGACAGAGAGACAGGCCAGAGAGACAGGGACAGACCAGAGAGACAGGGACAGAGACAGAGAGAGAGAGACAGACAGAGAGAGACAGACAAAGACAGAGAGACAGACAGACAGACAGAGACAGAGGCAAAGGCAGAGTGAGAGACAGAGGGACAGACCAGAGAGACAGGCCAGAGAAACAGGGACAGACCAGAAAGACAGGGACAGACAAGGACAGAGACAGAGATAGAGACAGAGAATCAAGGGGTGGTTTCTATTTAGAGTTCAGCTATGTTCCTGAATATCACTAAATCCCTCAGCCTTTATGAAAATAAGTTAAAGGGAAGAGTAAAAGTATTATGAAAATACTTTATGAAAATAAGTTAAAGGGAAGAGTAAAAGTATTAACAATGTGAATGGACTTAATGCCACTGAACTGTACACTTAAAATGGTATCTTAGATTATGTACATTTTACCAAAATTAAAAGATTTGTACATTTTCCCAAAATTAAAAAAGATTATATACATTTTAACAAATTTACAACTTGTACAAATGTACAAGATTATGTATATTTTACCAAAATTAAAAAAAAATTCTGCCTCTCCTTGAGAAAAAGTACTATAATCACATTAAGACATTGCACATTGGCTGAGCTCTAAATTCTTATTTTGATGTCAACTATTTTCACATATTAAGCAAGGATAAAAATTTTCCTGTGGTTTTGAGATAGTTTCCAAGGTTCTTCACTCAGATTTATAAGACTTAACATAAATATTTCAATGGCATGGCAAAAAAAAAAAAAGTGTATCAGGATACCTTTCCACTTAGTCTCAAAGTTCACACGAGGCTCTTGGGATTCAATATCTCAGTTCCACAAAATTGCAAGCAAAGTACATTTAATAATTAGGCTGATAAGCCCTCCCTTCATGTATTCTCCATGAGTTAGTATTAAATGAAGGACTGATTTTCTTATGTTTTTAGCCACTTACTCTTATAAGATGAAATTGAGCAATAAAATGTATCAGAATATTATAAAAGACAAAACATTGAAAGATAATATCAGTGCTTAATCCTATCACTTACTAAAGGTGACAGAGTATTTAATGACTCTGCTTTGTAGTTGAGTTATTATAAAATAACATAGTTACACTAGATTGTTAGGACCATTATAAATCTATATGTTTTTATTCTAAAATAAACATTACATTCAAAATATTAAAACATTTTAAAGTACTCATTAAAATATTTGTGTAAATACTAATTTGGGGTTTGTTTACAATTATACTTATGGGTGAATCATGTTATATTCTCTAAAGTCTATGCTTCTGCAGAAGCTTCTCATAAGCAAAGGTAAAGCTAAAACATTCCAAAGGAATCAAATCTGCTGGACTTACCTAGAGGTGGAACACTCCAAATGGATTTCCTGAGGGTCATGATCTATATTCCTTGGGGTAAAGTACAGCTCGGTTTGAAAAAGGAGAGTTTCCTCAGAAACTACCTAGGAGAGCATGAAGTTTCAGTGGAAGATATTTGGAGTAACAGATGAGGAATACACACACTTGAATAGGATGTAAAAAACATTCATGATCTCAAAAATGGCTACTGTCATTCTTAAATATAAATAAAGATATGACAACTCACTGGGACAGAAGAGGAGTGTTATCCCTAAGAGTGAATTTAAAATGCCTGGGGGCAAAACAATCTTAATTCATTGCAGCAAATTTAAACTGCCGCTTACAGCCATCTTTATGATTCATTAATGAAAAGGTTTCCAACAGTTCCTTTGAGAAAGGTGATTTGTAAGTCAAATAACGGAGAGTGGTTTAAAGCACAAGCTTCGGAGAGTATTCATCCTGGTTTGGTATCTAAACTACCACCAACAAGCAGTGCATCCCTGGAAAAGCTGGTAAAGCACCTTCTGAAGCTCCAAGTTCCCAATTTCTAAAATAAAATACTTTATTCAAAAATGATTGTTATTATCATTGGTCACTGGCCCAAAATATTTGTGTAGTGTGAATATAAATTGCTTAAATTTGGGAATCTGTGAGAAGATAATATCCCAGGATAACAACGCAATTTAGGATTTGTGCCTAGCTGAATGACAAGAGATTTCATTTCAATGAAAATCCACTATATATTTACACAAATCCTCATGGAACATGGATAGATTTCAAATGACCTAACATTGAACATGATGGAGCTTCCCAAGATTGGTGACCTTCCACATTAGAAGAATCACACAAAATTTAAAGCAGTCTGCTAATATTTAGTAAAATATAATAGTAGCCTAAGGGCAACTTAGAATCAGTTCCCTAGCCAATTTATAAATCTGTGATCTAAGGTCCTGTGCACACAGAATGACCCAATATTCAGTGAAAAATAATGATAAATTCCGTTGTCCCCTGCCCATAAATTACTACAATGAGAAGCAAACATTATTTTTTTAAAAGACAATTTTAATACTAGGCATAAAAGTCTGACAAAACATGCAGTATTTTTTACAAACAATCACTGTTCTTACCCTTGTCCTGATGCCACAATCACGAACAAGATATATAAACTCATATACATATGTATGTATCCGATTTGCAGGGCAGCCCATTCCCAGATGTAATTCATCCGCAAATATATACAGATTTCTGCTTTCTGCAACTGGGATAACTGAGACCATCAACCAGTCCAGAGAGCAACTTATTTTCACTGTGGAAAGAACCATATGAAAAGCATCAGAAGGGTGTCTATCTTAAGAAAGTGTTCAAAGAATAGTCAACTCTGCCCTCTGTGATAAATAAAAGGCATTTATTTCTCTGGCAAGGGTAACCATGGCTTAAAGGTTTTCTTACAAACATTATTAAAATTATTTTCCAAAATACCTAACTAATTATGCCCCCATGTAACTAGATTTCAGCAATTTCATGGAGGAGGTGGGAGGATCAACATGCAAGAATAAGAAAAAGCATAAATGGGCCGGGCGCAGTGGCTGACGCCTGTAATCCCAGCCTTTTGGGAGGCCGAGGCGGGCGCATTACAAGGTCAGGAGATCGAGACCGTCCTGGCTAACACAGTGAAACCCCGTCTCTACTAAAAATACAAAAAATTAGCCGGGTGTGGTGGCAAGCGCCTGTAGTCCCAGCTACTCGGGAGGCTGAGGCAGGAGAACGGCGAGAACCCAGGAGGCGGGGCTTGCAGTGAACCAAGATCGCGCCACTGCACTCCAGCCTGGGTGACAGAGAGAGACTCCAAAAAAGAAAAAAAAAATAAGAAAGAAAATGAAAAACCATAACCGTATAGCCCCTTAATATTTCCTAAATATTCCATGGAGGGGGATATATTTAGGACAAAACATAAGGGGCAGAAGTGAATTGCAATGTGTTAGAATAAAAGCGATATCATCCCAGTATACTTTTGGAAAGAGAAAGAGGAGAAAGGGTGGTTCTAGAACAGTAGAATTCTTGTCTAGAGCAGCCAGAACCAGAAACAATCTCAGCCATAAAAGGAAAAAGAGAGAGAAAGCCCTTTATTTGGGATGTTAGCTCCATGCACGTTTTGTTGTAAAACCCATCTTTATCCTCTATATTTAAATCGTCAGTAAGTCAATAATAATCATTATTTGCAATAGATTCATTTGGAGGAACTGAGTCTTTTCAGCATTAAAAGGTACATATTTAAATTATTAATGAGCAAGTGGCCACAGAGGACTCCACCACCACTGGAGCTTGGAAGTTCCGCCTTTAGAGAGAAATCATCAACAAGGTAAGACAATGCACATTTCAGAAAAGGTGTAGAGGCAAATGTCCTGCATTAGTGATCATAACCTTTAAATCACGTCTCTCTACGTGTTTGAAATACTGTTCTCACATCACCTAGGAAAGATGATCAGGAAGGTCCTTCCTAAAGGAAAATAAATTCCAGCAGCTAAGATTAAAGATGGATGGAAAGGAGAAGTGGGCATGACACACAGAAAGCCCATACTTATGATTTCACTGCATTTTTTTTCACAGTAACATTAGAAAGTCGAGTTTTGGGGGGGTTTTTTTGTTTGTTTGTTTTGAGACGGAGTCTCGCTCTGTCACCCAGGATGGAGTGCAGTGGCGCTGTCTCCGCTCACTGCAAGCTCCGCCTCCCAGGTTCATGCCATTCTCCTGCCTCAGCCTCCCGAGTAGCTGGGACTACAGGCTACAGGCACCCGCCATCACGCCTGGCTGACCTCGTGATCCGCCCACCTTGGGCTCCCAAAGTGCTGGGATTACAGGCGTGAGCCACCGTGTACCCAGCCTGTTTTTCAGACGGAGTTTTGCTTTTTTTTTTTTTTTTTTTTGAGACAGAGTCTCGCTCTGTCACCCAGGCTGGAGTGCAGTGGTGTGATCTCAGCTCACTGCAAGCTCCGCCTCCCGGGTTCAAGTGATTCTCCTGCCTGAGCCTCCCGTGTAGCTGGGATTACAGGCGCCCACCACTACACAAGGCTACTTTTTGTATTTTTAGTAGAGACGAGGTTTCACCATGTTGGCCAAGCTGGTCTCGAACTCCTCCTGACCTCTGGTGATCCACCCGTCTCGGCTTCCCAAAGTGCTGGGATTACAGGTATCAGCCACCGTGCCCAGCCAGAAACTCAGTTTTAGTCTGACGTTCTATCAAATAGCTGAGAAAAGCCTGAGAAACACACATAGATACTTTCACTGCAGCAGAATCTTCCTTTGCTCAGGCTTCCTGAAAGACAGTTAGGGCCTAAACACCCTACCCACCCTAAATAGCCAGAATTCACAGTGGCTCTTTCTCTCCATGTGCTGTTCATTTCAATAATTAACTGTTAACTGTTACCTGGTGAGCTTCACTGATCTAGGCATTCTTAAAATTCATCTTAGGTAAAATGGAAAAATATCAGGAGCTATATGTGATCTTTGCTTCCAAAGGTATTACAGGCCAAATGGGTAAGAAATTGACGTATCAGTTTCAAAGAAAAACCCCCTTTCAAATTACCAAAAAAAGTCTACAAAAAGAAACCATAAAGAACATAAAAAGTAATATTGAAATGCTACTTTACAGATTACATTTAGTCAGGCCTTGGAGCTGGCAAGCATTTGGATTCCAGGCAAAACAGAAAAGATACATTGGAATCAACTTGTAGACAGCAACGCGCTGACTTAGCTTTCTCCTATTAACTTTGCAGAACCGTTGATGAGTTTAACATGGGTGAAGTTCAGAGCAGTCTTTTTAAGGGAACAAAACAGCAATAATATCAGCATTAAGCAAAAATATGAGTCTGGAAGCAGGAAGATCAGCTAAGATGCAACTGAATATCTTACAATGTGATACAATCAAGCACCAGTAATTGGCAGGGGTTTGAAATGTTAGACTGAAAGAGAGCCAAGGACTATTCCTGAAGAACCTCTGAAAATGAGTCTCAAGTTAGAGAGAAGACCAAAACAGAGAGAGAGAGAAATAAAAGCCTGAGAACTGGGACATTTAGGCAGAAAGAGAAAATGTATCCTCCGTATATTGACACAAGTCTACTTGGCCTGAAAGCGCTTCTTCTTCTAGCCAGTTAGAATAAGATCAGATTTCTTCAGGGAGTAAAACACCTGCATGGAAAGCGATCATTATGATTAACTCCTTCGAGGAAGCATTCTCTAAAACTTGTTATTTACCATGGAGGTTCTCAGCACCGGTCCAAATCAAGACAGCGAGGAGCATCAAGACTTCTAACGCCATGGAGACCTTCGTCTGAGCAGACCTCCAGCACAGGACAACTCAGGAAACAAGGAGTGGCGACTGGTTTAAGTGATTTTTATATGGCATCCCATGCTCAGCTGCGTTCGTTTTCCTCCTTATTTGGGTAGTTCACAGGATGCTCTTATCACAGTGTCAGCTACCTAAAGGCTGAGACTCTCTTGATTATCCAAACACTGAAGCTCAAAGAGACATATCAAGAAAAAAGTGTTATTTGATAACAGTCTTTACAAGTCCTGTTACAAACATCAGGAGGATGGCATGGCACACAATGCTTCCAGTAAATACTAAATTACAGGAAACTGTTCTTACTAGCTAACGTTCAGGTGTTTTAAGTTTCCATCTAATATGAGAACAGCCTAGATCTTTCATACTTGAAATCAAAAGACTATTATTTCTTCATTTCTATGGGTTTGGCTGGAAGAAGCAAAGCAGACATGATAAACTGACTTGACCAGGAACATAAATCTCTAGGAGGGGACAGGCACCCAAAGGAAAGTCAAGTCTATTGGTATTAGGAAAGTTGACAATTCCCTCTCTGTTGATTCTTTCTAAATTAAGGTGTTGGTAACTTTAGTCATTTCAAACCTGAGACAAGAGAATATTTTATATGCATATATATACACATAACTGTATATGTATAATAATTTATATTTATGATTTTTTCAATACTGAAGTAGAATAAAAGTTCCAGCCAAAGATTTTTATTGTATTTTTTTAAAATGTTAGTCACGGCCTGAATGTGACTGCGTGGTTTTAAGGGTAATTGAAAATCAAAGGCTAACAGTAAATAAAATTCAAAGAGGCTGAATTAAATGCCTATTATTGCTTTTAGTCATATCTGAATTATATTTTCAATGTTACAGTCTGCTGTCAAATGACTACATGCACAGAGCTTCCCTATGCATTTAAGAAGGACTTCTATTTCTGACATTACATTCTCTTGTGGACAGTGAGATCCCCAAAGCTGTGACCCACACAGTGCTCTGCATCAGGAAAGCCTGGAGAATCCAGTCGCCCAACCACCAATGGGGAAAGAGTATTAGAGAAAGAGAAGGGCAAGTCTACATGTTATTTTTTCATCTTTCATTTCTTTAAACATTTTTCTGATGTTAAGAACATTTTCAGGATCTAAAATTTATTAACTTCATATGCAGCTTTTAAATCTTGCCTATGTAAACATCTAATATTGTTCCAAAAGGAATCATTGGCCAGTTTCTTGTATTTCAGTTTGAGAAAGTTAAACAAGCTAAGGCTGCTGTTCATACGCTGTAAAAAGGAGATATATTCTCTCTAAACTTATTGTGAATAAGACATAGCAAATGTAAACTGTCTTGCTCAAGTCAATAGCGTACAAAAAATATCTAATATATGACTATTTCCTGTATCTTGAAGCACAGTTAGTAACAGGACTTTATGCAATGTTTCAAGGATTACTCAAAGCCGCAGAATGAACAAAGTTCATTTTCCAAAAATTCCAATTTTAATACAGAATTTTACTGTGAAACAGTAATGGAATTTAAATATAACTTTAATGTAAAATGGAGATAAAGCAGAGATAAAACAAATATTTTAAAACAATTTATAACTTAGGGAAATGTTGCAACTATAGTACAAAAAAACTTTCTTTTTCCTGGACCTTTTGAGAGCAGGTTGCTGGTAAGATGTTCCCTTGACTGTAAATATTTTGAAGTATATATCCAACAAATAAGGCCATTCTTCTACTAGAGTGCTTCTCAATAATTGGAACTTAGATGATGGAGGGGTCCATGGGATCAGATCTATTTTCACAATAACACATTTTCTTTTTCATAATGTCGACATTTGCACAGGTGTGCAAAAACAGTGGTGGGAAATGCTCCTGCCTCTTGAGCACCAATCAAGGTAGTAGCATAAGAATGTGTTAGTTTGTTAGTCACCATTGTATTCTTCACCCCTGTGCACTCACAGTAAAGGGAAAAAGCCAGTTTCACTTAAGTCTTGAAGCAGTAAAAAGTATCTGTTTTATTAAATGCCAACCGTTGAATGCATGCCTTTTTACTATTCAGAGTGATAAAATAGAAAGTATGCATAATACACTTTTGCTGCGTATCAAAGTATGAAGAGTGTCTCAAGGAAAATCTGTGCAGTTATTGGAGCTGTGAGCTGAACTAGCCACTTGTTACATAGAACACCATCTTTACTTAAAGAATGACTATCAGACAAACAATGATTATTCGCCCGTGGGTATTCGACATTTTTTGAAATTGAATGATGTAAACTTGTCACTTCAAAGAAAACAACTAACAACAATTAAACTCAGTGATAAAATTCAAGCTTAAAGGAAAAATTAGCATTTTGAAAAAGTTGTATTCTCTACTATGAGCTTGGAAGCTCACTGGTGATATCTTAACTATGATTTCTTGTATTGCATAATAAAATATCATCACTTAAAACATCTGCATAACTCTGAACTAAAATTTTCCCAATTATCTGCACATGATGTTACAGAAACATTCATGGGCAAAGTACAAGAGGGACCAGTGGATTTTAATGGGAATAAGTATGAAGAGTTTATTGATATATTTTCAGATCCCATGTTGCAACAAACCTCGAAGATACTGCCCCTTAGTAAGTTTTGGTGCAGTATCAAAAAAAAAAAAAAAGCCACAATTATCTGAAAAGGCTTTTAAAATACTCTCCTTTTTTCCAACCACGTATCTGTGTGAGGCAGGGTTTTCTTTATGTACATTAACCAAAGTGACATATTACAAAGACCGAACGCAGAAGCAGATATGATAATCCAATTTTCTTCTAGTTAGCCAGACAAGAGACTTGCAAAAATGCGAATATAAAATGATGTCACTCTTTTTTTGGAAAACAGTAATTTTTCACTAAATGTTCACTATTTTATGTTAACACCTGTTGGGTTTATTAGCTATTTTAATTATTTAATAAATATTTTTAACTCAGTTTTAATTTCTAATGTGGTAATGTGGATGGATAAAGCCCATATAAATAAAAGCTCTTTGTAATTCAATATTTTTAACAGTCTAAAGGAGTCCTGACATCAAAAATTCTGAGCAGCATATATACCCCAAAGAAAGGAAATCAGTATATTGAAGAGATATCTACACTCCTGTTTGTTGCAGAACTGTTAACAATAGCTAAGATTTGGAAACAACCTAAGTGTCCATCAACAGATGAATGGATAAAGAAAATGTGGTACATATAAACTATGAAGTGCTATTCAGCCATAAAAAGTATGAGATCCCGTCTTTTGCAACAACGGGGATGGAGCTAGAGGCCATTATGCTAAGTAAAATAAGCCAGGCATAGAAAGACAAACATCACATGGTCTCACTTATTTGTGGGATCTAAAAATCAAAACAATTGAACTCATGGACATAGAGAGTAGAAGGATGGTTACCAGAGGCTGGGAAAAGTAGTACGGGGGAGATAGGGATGGTTAACGGGTACAAAAAAAATAGAATAAGACTATTTGATAGCACAAAAGGGTGACTACAGTCAGTAATAACGTAATTGTACATTTTAAAATAATGAAGAGTGTAATCAGATTCTTCATGATGCAAAGGGTACATGCTTGAGGAGATGGATATCCCATTCTCCATGGTGCAACTATTATGCACTGCATGCCTGTATCAAAATATCTCAGGGACCCCATAAATATATACACCTACTATATACCTGCAAAAATTAAAAAGTTTTTAAAGTCTAAGCAGCCAGCATTATTGCATTGTGGCTGCAAAGTTGTTTAACGGCTACAGAGTTACAGTTTTACAAGATGAAGAGTTCTGTTACATGACAATGTAAATGTACTAAACACTACAGAATTGTACACTTAAAATGGTTAAGATGGTAAATTTTATGTTATATGATCTTATTAAAAATAAAATTAAAACTATTACATTACATATCTAAATGTGAAAAGCAAGACTGTAATTTTTTAAGAGAAATACGTAGGACAGAATATCTTTGTGACATTCTGATAGGGAAGGCTAAAGGTGGAGGTTTGGAGTGGGAAACCTCCATTCCACAAACCTCCAAATAGGAGCATTCATGTTATACATACTTTGGTTAAACAGTGTTTTGAACAGCCACGTGAATATGTTGTAGAGGAAAATGAATAACTGAGTCTGCATTTCAGGGGTGAAGTCCAGGATAGAGATGTAACTTGAAGCCATCAGCACAGGGATGTTAGTTAAAACAATGAGATTGAATGAACTCTCCAAGGGAGTGGATATGTAGAGATGGGGTGAGCAGTTCAATGTCCAATCCCTAGGAACCCCAATAAGCTAGAAAAGAAGAGAAATATCAACCACAGAGGATCTACTAAAGACAAACAGTGATCACTGAGAAAGGATGCTATTGCAGAAGCAAGATTTTTTAAAAATTTGGCCAGAAGAATTAATATATCAATAATATACCCAGAGATACATCATACTGAGAATAATTATTTCTATTAAAACTAAGCACAAAACAAGGCCTCTAACTTTGCTATTGCAGAAAAAAAAAACTTATTGCACTCCGACAAGAGACAAAAAGTTTATATATTTGAAATAGTTACTTTTTGTTTGAGACAGGATCTCACTCTGTCACTCAGGCTGGAGTGCAGTGGCATGATCATGGCTCACTGCAGTCTCGACCTCCTGGGCTCAGATGATCCTCCTACCTCAGCCTCCTGAGTAGCTGGGACTACAGGCACCCACCACCATGTCTGGCTAATTTTTGTAGAGATGAGGTTTTGCCATGTTGCCCAGGCTGGTCTCAAACTCCTGGGCTCAAGCAATCCACCTGCCTTGGCCTCCCAAAGTGCTAGGATTACAGGTGTGAGCCACTGTGCCTGGCCTGAAATAGTTAATATCAATATTAGTTTCAGCTGATATAATCAACTTATTAAAAAAAGAGAATCAACTAACAAATTATTAAACTGATTAAAAATTCAACAAGCATGATGGATATTACTACTCAAAAAAAAACTTAAAGCAGTCATATGTGCTAATTTGGATTCATTGATCCAATTCAAAAAAAAAAAAACGAGAATAAAAGAATCCCATTAGTAATTGTTCCCGAGTTTTCATGAAACCCTGTAGAGGGCCTCATATTGGCAGTTGGTTGGCCCCATTCATTGTGTTCTACAATTTTTAGGGATACCTGATCACTAAGTTCTAAAGATAACAGTCTGTGTGCTTTGTTTCAATATATTGGTTGCACTGTCTGTTTGTGTAAGATTTGGGGCAACTCAAACTATACCACCACTGTGACCTTATCCCAATGTAAAACAACCTTTCTATGATACACATGCAGAATAAAGCAAGTGCATAAGGAAATTTTAAAGTTGTTATACACACTTTGTTCAGAGTATGCTTGGCAGAGACCCCATGTGTAATTATTTGTATTACCCAAAGCATATCTTAGCATAATGAACTCATATGTGTAAATAATTGATTAGCTTTATCAAAATTAAACAATAAATATTACAGCAGTTTTCTCTGTAGCTATCTAGGTTACACTATATATGCTAGAAGTAAAGGGATGGGAAGACTGCATTACTTAAATTCCTTTGTTAGGATTATTCGGGTGCCAGCAGTTGTAGAGGCCATCTCTGATCATACCTATCTGACACCTCCCTGTGCCCCACTTTGTCCCATTCTCTGACCAGGGCACCCACAGGACTGACTTTCAGTTTGCCTTTATTCTACATTTTGTCACAACTACTAAGGAGGACAAAACCTGCTAACTCCCCTAACCACATTAAGTTTGAGTCCAGCCTTTTTTGGAGTGATTAGCAAAAATCCTGTCTGAATACTGATGAAGAACGCAAGATAGAAAGAAAACCACAAAAACTGCTAAATTTAAAAGATGTTAAATTTTTAAGCCTGCACAAACATTAAGTGTTGACTCCCAAAGAAATCTTTCCCATCTAAATAGCACCACAAGTCACCCACTTATAGCCCCCAATCACAGGAGACATGCTTGATTCCAGTGTGTTTCTCACACTCTGTGTCCAAACCATTTGTATGTTTTAATATCCCGCAAAATATATCCTCAATTGTACCACTTCTCTTGACCCTTGGCTCTAACCTTTCAAGTCAAAAACAATTTTCGCCAACTTTCTGGTCAGCCTGTTACTGCTATGTCTCCAGGAAATTAACAAGATTCTTTAACCCAGAGACATTGTTTCTTCAATTTCACAGCTGCACAAATCCTTGTCAAAAATAAAACAGATTGTTATCCATCTGATCTCCCTTTGATACACTGTATATCCCTGAAATCATTATTATTGGAATTAGTGAATACTTACATTAAAAGTTAATTTTAAAAACTTAAGATTTTTCAAAGTATCAGACATTAAATGTCAAAAATTAAGATCTAAAACCAAAAGCATCTGGATCAAAACCTCATTCTGACATGTAGAGATTTTGGTCAATTGAATTCACCATTGAGACTTTTTAGGTTGAGTTAATGAGTACCTGCCTCATTACTGTAGTGATTGTTAAATAAATGCATGTATCCTATTGCAATGAGGGCCACAGATGGCTATTTTTAAATTTTAGGTTCAGGGGTACATGTGCAGGTTTGTTATATAGGTAAACTGCGTGTCACGGGGCTTGGTGTACAGATTAGTCACCCAGGTAATAAGCATAGTAACTGATGGGTAGTGTTCTATCCTCTCCCTCCTCCTACCCTCCATCCCTCAAGTAGGCCCTGGTGTGTGTTGTTCCCTGATTTGTCTCCACGTGTACTCAAGGTCTGGCTCCTACTTATAGGTGAGAATATGCGGTATTAGGTTTTCTGTTCCTGCATTATTTCACTTACGATTATGGCCTCCAGCTCCATCCATGTTGTTGCAAAGGACATGCCTCATTTTTATGGCTGTGTAGAGTTCCATGGTGTATATGCACCATATTATCTGTACCCAGTCTACTATTGATGAGCATTTAGATTGATTCCATGGCTTTGCTATTGTGAATAGTGCTGGGACAAACATGTGTCTTTATGGTAGAATGATTTATATTCCTTTGGGTATATAACCAATAATGGGATTTCTGGGTCGAATGATAGCCCTAAGTTTTTGGAGGAATTGCCACCCTGCTTTCCACAATGCTGAGCTAATTTACATTCCCACCAGCAGTAGGTAATTGTTCCCTTTTCTCTGCAACCTGGCAAGCATCTGTAATTTTTTTAACTTTTTTATAAGAGCCCAAAAATATCTTTTAATTGGGATTTATATTTCCAGGAGTAGTCAAAAATCTACTAGGGTTTATCGAAATGAAAGATTAGGCCAAGTGTCCTCACCCCTGTAATCCCAGTACTTTGGGAGGCCGAGGTGGGTGGATCACCTGAGGTCAGGAGTTCAAGACCAGCCTGGCCAACATAGTGAAACCCCATCTCTACAAACATACAAAAATTAGCCAGGCATGATGGGTGCCTGTAATCCCAGCTACTCAGGAGGCTGAGGTGGGAGAATCATTTGAACCCGGGAGGCAGAGGTTGCAGTGAGCCAAGATCGTGCCCATTGAATCCCAGCCTGGGTGACAGAGCGAGACTCCATCTCAAAAATCAAATAAAAAAGAAAGGTCAGGCCAAGTCATGCTGCATCTTTAATTTTACTCAAGGTGGAAAGAAATAAAAATAGTAAAAGAATCACATATATTCAGATGACAAAATTTTACTGTCATTTTCATTTCAAAAACAAAAGTATTCAGTCCCTTCAACCAATCCCAGCTCTTTTCCAGCTTCAGCTGTCTTGGGAAGGATTGAAGATCAGGAAATTGACATAGTTAGGTACCTGTTAGTCAACCAAGCCCAGCAGCTCAGCTAAGTTATTTAGCAGTTCTAGATGACTCAAATTTAGATGTCTTTGTATTCTCTTGGAACAAAAATCCCCATTTCTAGAGGGGAAAGAGAGGTACTTTCAGATTTAGCAAAAATAAATTGTGTCTAAAGAGGTGGAGAGAGACCTTTTTCACATTTTCTTGTGTCCATGAGTTTTTCTCCCTCCCAGGAGCAAGAAGTCTAGCCATAAGAATGTTCTGCCCCAACTACATTTTCCCTATGGAAGAAGACTGACCCTGCTTTGAGTAAAGATCATTTGTGTGCATGCATCCCTGCTCATGTATGTGGTACTTTCTGGTTCAGGCTCCCTGGAATGAGTTTGGCACCTGTACTCTTTTACAGTATACTCAAAGGCACAAGACTTCACTTCCAGAGATATACTAAGCAATTTAAATTAAGAGAAGAATTAGATATCTTTCCACCTGGGATGCAAGCTGTGATCAGCATGATCTGAGTTTTGAGCACTTTTGTGTTGGAATAAGCAGCTATTGTGGAGCCTGCCGTCCCTCTAAGGGATTTTCACTGGGCCTGGGACACTGTGCTATATGGAAGCTGGGAGCGAAGTTGTCACTTGGTTCCAGGTTCTTTATTAGAATAAATCATTTCCCTGTTCTGGGTACACAAGGCACATTCGCTGTATTGCTTAAGGTGTGGGTGTCACATGGCACTTGGCTGGTATCGGTATAGGTATACCTACCCCCTGTGGTAAGGTATCAGGGTCTTTGCCTACAGCTCCAGAGGGGTGCATGCATCCCCCACTTTGCATTGGCTATCAGGAGGGACCTACATGGGAGACTAATACACACAACAAATGCTGATTTTGCTTCATCTTTTCTCCTTGCTTCACCTTTCCTTCTCTCCGGACACACAAAAAAAGACACTGGTTCCAACCAGTGCCTTGTGTGTGCCAAGTCATCCTTGGCAACTCCAAGATAGATTCAGTGGGTCTAGATATGTGAGCTCCCACTCCTGGTGCTTGGCACTATTATTTTTGCCACCCTCCATGCAATGGGAATTCTTATTTGGGATTCATAGCTGGATCTCCCTACTCGACATTTTGCCGATCAATTCAGGAGCCTCAAAAGGAAGAGCAAGTCATCTTGTTCACTAAGAAAATCTCCACCAAAGCACTGATGGTGGGAAGGGTGGTGTGACAGTGTAGTTGTGGCCCTGTATGGTTACAACACTTTCAGAATTAGGCCAAAAAGCAACTGAAATATTTTCTTCTAGATTCTTGCTTTATCAAGGTAATAGAAAAGAAATGCACAATGTCAAAATAAGTTTACAATGTTTCCTCATGAGACATTATCAGGAAACAGAAAAGAAAAAAGCAGTATAGAAAGCCACAGATGAAGGGCTCATGGGAAAATCCTCCTTTTGAGTGCATTATAAAAGAGGGAGACTTCAATATATTTCACTAAGACACGGTTACGAAGAATAATGGGTAAAACTAAAGTGAGCAACTAAATCATAAAAATGCTGAATGTTAATTCAGAAAAGAACACACTGGGTATGGGCAAGCTTTATTATGTATGAGCTTGATTTCAGAGTTAGAATGGCAATTTCACTTAAAATTAACTCATTAAAAAGTATAAATATCATGGTATAGATATGTTATTCAAAACTCCAAAATGTAGTGAAACTGGTAACAGATGTTGCTACTCATCTTTGTACAGACACATCAACAGTATTGATGAAACTGGTTTTCAGACAAGATGTATCACTTGTTCCCTTGCTTTAGGGAGGAGAGGGTGTTATAACACAGGCATTATTGATACAGTGACTTCTTGGATAGTTGCTCCTGTAGGATAGGGGGGAAAAGCAGTTAAGAGCTGCTTAAATATAACCTTACCTAAAAAGAAAACACGTTCAGAGAACTCATGGGTGCTCAATTAGAAGTAATGTGGAAAAAAAAATCACATTTCTACCCTAAAATGTAATCTATGGAACTAACCAGCTATATCAAATATAACCATTAGATATTATGCTATTAGAAGTGATTAGCATCTATGTGTTGGCTAGATGACTGCCTTTCTGAGACTATCAAGTAATTACATCATACATTTCAACTTTGATTTTAAGTGGTTTTCAGATCTCTAGAACAAAGCTTATTTCTTTATGAAATGTCAACTTCAAGGCTATTGTCAATATGCACAAGTTTTCTGACATCCTTTTAAAATAAGCTCAGTAGAAAAATCCTGATTAAAAAGAGTGTTTTCTACAGGTATTAATCTTAGGAAAAGTGCGAATTAGATGTAGTGACTTCCTCTGAATTTAAGCCTAGTTTACCTATCTGCCTACTTATTTTATACACATATATGTATATAGACATGTTTTTCTACAAATATTAGTATGAAATTAGAGATCTGGTATGGGCCTTCTATGACAACAATTTCATTTTGTCACAGGCTATATTGAAAATGAACAGTTTAGTACCTGAGAGAATAGGTAAGGAAACTGACCAGTATGGAACCTATTCATGTTCATCTGCAACAAGAAAATGATAACTATATCCAAGTACAGACTACGGTACCTAATTCTACAGGGTTCATATTAAAACCAGAGCAATTTCAGCATGCAGCATTCAAATAGGAATTTACATCATTGCCTTCCTTGAAGTTATATTTAACAAATTGTGGTTAACTATAAAATAAACAACCTTAATATTCTCACCTTATTAACACTGTTAAAATTAAGTGTCCATGTTTTACTTTGTGTGGGAGTTGGTGACTCTTGTCCTTTTGTTTTTTGAGGGATTTCTTTCAAGGTGTGGGCATCAAACCCACTCATTCCAAAATGCATCACAGAGGGGAATTTAAGCCTAAATGCAGAGCAAACAAAAGAAAAGCACAGGATTAATAGCTGTACAGATTTTTTGTGGGAAAAATATGTATTAGATAGGTTCGTTATAAGTGATAACCCAAAATAACTGACTTGTGGAGGAAAGGCAAAGTAGCTCAGTAAATCTAAATAAAGAGTTTGTAACAGAACCTTGAATAGGATGGTACTTATTGATCCAGAATTGATCCTTGACTTGACTTTGAGGCTCCGGGGTCAATAAAAGTTTTGAAGAGCAAAATGATTGTTAGATGTGACAAACATTCTATCTATGCTGAATGGACTATGACTCAACCAAGCCAGGCCACACACACACATCCCAAGATTAGAAATTGAAAACAGAGACCCATATGTATGCAAAAAGATGCTACCACCAAAATCTTAGGCAGGAAATAGAGACATAGACACACCCCATTCCAAGGTTAAAAAGGATTTCACCACCTTTAACTACCATCTCAACCCTTCCCCATCCTATCTTAGGAGTTGTAGTGTTTATTCCCACTGCTGCTCTTTCCTTCCCTGCATGTAAGAAAAAGGAATGTGGTTTGCTCGTCTCTCAAAGCCAGCATGTAGGCAGTTCCAGGAGAATGATTCAGATTCAGAGTACATGTGTAAAGGGAGGCTAAAATCTCATTCAAATTTTCTATATCTCTTGTTGAATTTAGAAGGGCTAATATGTCCTGGCCTATTTGATCTGGGAGAAAAATGGACTGCGAATAGATAAGGCATAATAGCCTTTACTTCTATAATCTGCTATTGAAACCATTTTTTTTTGAGAGCTCAGTGGATGCCTATATAGACGGCAATATAGTTCAATCCCATCTGCTAAGATTCCCCTTAAGACGGCCAGCACCAAGTGAGAAATCCAAGGATCAAATCTGATGTTCATGATAGACCCACTCAAAAAGTCATTAAGTGAGGAAGACCGGCATTTGGACCCACCGTGGAGAAGGCATCTATGCTCAGTGTTGGCCAAAAGACCCCTACAACAATTTCAGCAAAGAGATATTTTCTCTTTTCATGTCTTAATACCATTACTCTATCCCAGCAAACACAGGAAAAGTAGGGGAAGAGAATAGATTTTAAAACCACAGAAAGATCACATTTAAGAATATACTCCAAAACTCAAACCCCAGCGTAGCTGGAACTGGAAAGAAGGGAAGGAAGAAAACTAAGTATGAAAATCTAGTATTAAGTTGTATTCCACTAGGCTTCACAAGTCTAATAACCAGAAAATGAACTTCAAGATGATGTCAAACATTGAGGAAAAATTTACATTGCATAAAAGCAGTGATTACACGCCAGGTGCAGTGGCTCATTCCTGTAATCCTACCACTTTGGGAGGCCGAGGCAGGTGGATCACTTGAGGTCAGGAGTTCGAGACGAGCCTGGCCAACATGGTGAAACCTCATCTCTACTAAAAATATAAAAATTAGTCTGGCATGGTGGGGTATGCCTGTAATCCCAGCTACTCTGGAGGCTGAGGCAGGAGAATCGCTTGAACCCAGGAAGCGGTGGTTGAAGTGAGCTGAGATCGCACCACTGCACTCCCGCCTGGGCAACAGAGTGAGACGCCGTCTCAAAAAAAGAAAAAAAAAACAGTGACTACGAAACTACTTTCTGCAAGTTTAGACTATCTGATAATTAAAAGGTGAATATGACAATATCAACTGCAAAAAGGCAACTAGATCTCAGGAATCAGAAGTAGGAATTTAAATGACATGTAACTTATCACCACATTTATATGCTCATTGCCTTGACTCCATTGCCATAAGTACCACTTCTTTCCATGATCCAAAAGGAGGAGACTAACGGCTTTTTTTTTTAAAGACAATCTCACTCTGTCACCCAGGCTGGAGTGCAGTGGCGCTATCTCAGCTCACTGCAACCTCCACCTCCCAGGTTCAAGCGATTCTCCTGCCTCAGCCTCCCAAGTAACTGAGATTATGGGCATGTGCCACCAGGCCTGGCTAATTTTTGTATTTTTAGTAGAGACAGAGTTCCACCACATTGGTTAGGCTGGTTTCGAACTCCTAGCCTCAAGTGATCTGCCTGCCTTGGCCTCCCAAAGTGCTGGGATCATCTTTTTTTTTTTTTTTTTTTTTTTTTAATATCATAGCCTTTACCTGCTTAGAGGCTGACAAGTTTACAAAGGCTGTTTGAAAAACTAATTGGCATTGTCCAAGTCAGGTGCTAACCCCTGGGTCAATAAAGTGGAAGAGGATAGGAGGTGCCTATAACAATATAGCAGCTAATATTATAGACAGAGGTTGAGAAGACATTGGGGGCTGGAAGAACAAACATATTTTCTCAGATTAAAAGAGGATACAACAGAGGTACATTTTCTACCCCGTTCCAGGAAGTATGGGGGACTCATACCAATTTGTAAAAATTCCTCATGGTCAGGGAAGCATGTTCTTTAAAAAACCAAAGACTACCACCAAAATCTTAGCCAGGCAAGAGAGGGAGACACCCCATTCCAAGGCTAAAAAGCAGTTAGATTCCACCACCTTTGGCTATCATTTCAACCCTTCACCATCCTACTTTAGGAGCTGTAGTGTTCATTCCCACTGTTAAATCTTTCCTTCCGTGACAGTGAGGAAAAGGAATGTGGGGGCGGGAGTGGGGAAAATGAGAAAATTACCTACTGGGGACTATGCCCAGTACCTGGATAGCAGGGTCAATAGTATCTCAAACCTCAGAATCATGCAATGTACTTATGTAACAAACCTATATATGTACTCCCTGGATCTAAAATAAGAGTTAAAATTTAGAAAATTAAAAATAAAGGTTAGAACCACTTTAAGATCAACATGAATGTTTATGATATTTAGCTACTGTCTGGTTAACAATTGTGTTTATCCTGATGTAGCAACACTGTCGATTAGTAAATCTTTATTACAGAAAAATCTAAGTCTACACTGTGCAAATGTTACCACTAACCACATGCTGCTACTGAGCACTTGAAAAAATAGCTCGTGCAACTCAATTTTTTGTTGTTTTAATTTTAGTAATTTACATGTAATATTACCAGTGGCTACTGGTTACTATGTTAGACAGCAAAGGTTTAGAGATGACTGGCGAAGTTTGAAGAACAGAGGTTCCTTTTAAAAGCTGATTTCAAGTCATTCCTTGCAGGGTGCCTTAATTTTGTCTGACCTTTTCCACCCTTCAAGAAGTATAAGGATATAGTGAGAATTTGTTTGAAATCATCCTGAACAGCTGAAAATGGCATTGCTAAGTTGCAAATGAACTTAGGTAGTCAAGATAAAGATCAAATAGATCATTAAGACATAAATAAGAGCCCAGAGAAATCCAAGCTTATAAGGTCATTGATATAACGAAAGAGTCAGAGCAATTCAAGGATGAAAGAAATTTCATTTCAGTTAATGGTACTGTATCAACAGGATGTCCCTATGGAGAGGGAAGAATCTTGACCTTTCTTACACTACATGCAAAAATTAAGTTCAGATGGATTATAAACCCAAATATATTCAAAACCATAAAACTTCTAGAAGAAAATAACACTTGGCAATAGCAAGGAATTTTACGACAGAACAGAAAGCAATAACTAGAAGGAAGAGTCTATAAATTAAACTCCAAAATTAAAGACGTCTGCTCATCAAAAAACACATTAAGAAAATTAATAAGCAATGTGGGGACTGGGGCGAAATACATCTGACAAAGTCCTGGTCTTTAAGATATGAAGACCACTTACAACTCAAGACAGATGATGCAGAGTAAAAATGAACAAAAGACATGGCTCACAAGAGACATAAAAATGGCCAATGAGCACTAATAATTAGTTATCAGAAAATGCAAATTAAATATGACTATGCACCTATTCAGATGGTTAGAATAAAAAACTGACATCAGAGGGTGAAACCACTGGACTCCCATACATTCCTCGTATTAGTGCCAAAAAGGACACCTTATTTTGGGAAAATATTCATCATTTCTTACAAAACTAAACATACTCTATGATCAAGCAGTCCCATTCTTAGGTATTTAAAGGAAACAAAAACATACACCCAAAGATATGCAAACATATGGTGATAGCATATTTATTCATAATAGCCAGAGACTGAAAACAGCACAAGTCTTCATCAAATAATACGTATCTAATGAAATATACCACTCGGCAATATAAAGAAACAAGCTACTGGAATATACAACATAAACGAGTTTCAAACATTCTGCTGAAAGAAATAAGCTAGACACAAAAGCATACATGCTGCGATTCTATTTCTACAAAGTTATAGAAGAGACAAGAACAGTGAGGTGTGGCTGCAGGAACCAACTGGGAAGATCCACTTTCTGCAGCAATCAGTCTTACTCATGTCAATAGGGTTTTATGTTAAACATAAAGCTCAGTTGACAAATGCATTAACTTGTGTAACATTTATATATTAATTGCATGTGAGTTCTTCTTCAAGTAAATTATTGATCCTTGATTCATGATACGCATGCTGAAGCACTTAGGGAAAAGTGTACTCATGTCTTCAATTGGAAGTGCATCAAAATTGATAGATGGGGAAATGATTGTGTAACAAAGTTTAGCAAAATGGTAGAATCTAGGTACTATATATAAATTCCTTCAATTCTGTACATTTGAACATTTTCCTTAGAGTTAGAGAAACTTTAGAAATTTATGCCATACACATCCCTCCAGGGCATTTTTATAGCTGCATTCTTAACAGAAACATCTATCAACCAAATAATAAATTTAAGAATGTGTAAGAGAAGTAGCTACTCATACCTCTTCACAAAGCAAACCACTGGAAATTCATAGGTAGTATGCAACCTTGGTTTGTAACTGATCTCTGATAATATGGCGTCATCATTTGTTTGGAACATCTGAAACAATTGAGAGTTTTAATACTAGAAGGCATTAAATTCTTTTGGTGGCTTAATGATCTTAATAGAATCTGCTTTAGGAAAATCCGGAAATGGCATTTTACATTAATTTAACAGATATAAAATAGTAGACCTCATGAGAAATACTTTATTCTCCTTTTTCTCCTGGTCCTTCAACTTCTTTGCCCCCATCTCTAATACCAGATGGGGGATAGGAGAAAATTGTCTCTGGGTCTGTTTTAAAGTATATGTGCTTTTTCCAAAGTAGTACAATTGCATATATTCATAAACAATGTTCCCAGCTATTAAAATCTGACAGCAGATGGAGGTAGTAAAACTGAGAAGGCACAGACCGTACCTTATGACTTTGAGACAGAGTTTCACTTATCACCCAGGCTGGAGTGCAATAGTGCCATCTCAGCTCACTACAACCTCTGCCTCCCAGGTTCAAGTGATTCTCCTGCCTCAGCCTCCCAAATAGCTGGGATTACAGGTACCCACCACCACACCCAGCTAAATTTGGTATTTTTAGCAGAGACTGGGTTTAACCATGTTGACCAGGTTGGTCTCAAACTCCTGACTTCAGGTGATCCACCCACCCCAGCCTCCCAAAGTGGTGGGATTACAGGTGTGAGCCACCATGCCCAGCCCCTTATGACCTTTTTAAAGTCCCTTATCTGAAATGTCCCAATTAAGTAGATAAGCACCTGGTCCTATCTAACAATTGATCACTGCAAGAGATAGGAAGATGCTTGAAAATTTTAATTAGGAAGGAACTTTTGATACTATGTAGCCCTGAAAAAAAAATTCAGTATATGTTTTAGGGAAAAGCATCATGGCACTTACAATTTTCTTGATCCCACAAGAAGTGACAGGATAAGAAAACGCGTAGTTAAATGACAACAGTCTTGTTACAGGACAGTTATCTCTCAGGTGTATGTCGCCAATTCTAATGTCTGTGTTCTTATCAAAAGGCCTTATTTTCATTCTGACTAACAACCAATCATCAGAGCACATTGCAGTTATTGCTAAAAGAAAAAAAATCCAAAAAGTAATATGGTAGTATACTTCCTCCCAAGACATTACACTATCAGTGCTGACAGACAAATATAACACAAGCTACATGGGTAGCGTTCAGTCTCCTATTAGCCATGTTCAAAAATAAGCAGGTATAGGCCAGGCACAGTGGCTCATGCCTGTAATCCCAGCATTCTGGGAGGCCGAGGCAGGTGGATCACCTGAGGTCAGGAGTTCAAGACCAGCCTGGCCAACATGGTGAAACCCATCTCTACTAAAAATGCAAAAATTATCCAAGCATGGTGGCGTGCCCCTGTAATCCCAGCTACTTGGGAGACTGAGGTGGGAGAATTGCTTGAGCCCAGGAGGCAGAGGCTGCAGTGAGTCGAGACCATGCCACTGCACTCCAGCCTGGGCAACAGAGTGAGACCCCCATCTCAAAAAAAGACATTAAAATTAAAATTTAAAAAAGCAGGTATAGTTTAAAATATATTTCATCTAAGCTAATATATCCCAAATATGATCATTAACATGTAACAAAACAAAAATTGAGATTAGATTTCTTATACTAATTTTCTGGAACTGATGTGTGTTTTGTATTTGTAGCACAATTCAAATTGGCCACACTTCATGTGCTCAAAAGCCCCTTGAGGGCGGTGGCTGCTGTGCTACTCTGTACTTTACACAGCTGCAAAAATCCACAGAGAGGTTAGTTGGTTATTTAATTTCTTTGCAACCATTTATTCATATTTAGAGTGAACGTAGTCATTATTATCTACCTTTTAGGGTTCTGTGATGATTAAATGAAATAAGGCATATAAAAGATCTTGGAACACTGCCTAGAACTTAAATGCTCAATTAATGTTTATTAAGGTAAAAACAATTTAATGGTCTTTATATAAGACACTACCACCACCAATTCCTTCCATAGAGATAGATCTCCATCCATCCATCCTCAGTATCAATTAAACTAAACCTGATCAGAATTTAATACTATATAAAAGATTAGGTTTCAGAGTCCAATCTTCTCATATTAACCTGAAGAAGCTGTGGCTATATCCTAGGAACATTTTTACAATATCAGGCACACAGTGACATTTCACATTTTACTATTATCTCTCCCCACCCCTAGGGGAAAAAAAAAAAACCACATCTTCATCTCTTTATCCCCATATGGCATGTATTTGGTCTTCAGTATGAATTTTAATTAAATAAGTGACTAGTCCAACCACAGAAGACATTGACCCAGGTTTTAATCCCAGGACAGTTGGCAGTATCCAAGGATCTACAGAACTCTGTCTTCCGTAAAATGTTTGGCTTAGAATGAGCCTTATTTGGCCTAGAAACCTGAGGTTACCAACTTGATACATGCTTTTTGGGACAGCTAGAAGAACAGAGACGCAAGTACAACATGGAACTCAGCATTTAGAATTTTGAGAAACCATTTTCCTAGAGAGATTAATAGCATAAGTTATTCATATAAGAAAGTTGATAGATACTGATAGTAAATACAGTGATGACAGCTGCAGAAGTGAAGTTTAGGGTGAGGATGAAAAAAAATCTGCAATCCACTTACCTCATAGCAGCAGGACTATGGTACAATGTCCTTCTTGGTCCATGTCGAAACGGGAATTGTAATTACTATCAAGTCCCTCCTTTTATTCAGACTAAGAAAGGAGCTGTAGCCTATGTATTTTCTGTTTGTATCCCAAGGATAGATATATTTATCTTAAAAAGCAAAGCTTGCAGGGCCAGGCTGTCATTGAGGGGTTAATATGTTAGACCACAAGCCTGTTCCCATGGGGATTCCCACATTTATTGTCACATTAAATAAGAAGTTCTGCTGTTTATGTACCAATTCCTAGGTCAAATTTCACCACATTCTTTTTTTTTTTTTTTTTTTTTTGGAGATAGAGTCTTGCTTTGTCACCCAGGCTGGAGTGCAGTGGCAGGATCTTGGCTCACTGCAACCTCCACCTCCTGGGTTCAAGTGATTCTCCTGTCTCAGCCTCCTGAGTAGCTAGGACTACAGGCATGTGCCACCACACCCAGCTACTTTTTGTATTTTTAGCAGAGACAGGGTTTCGCCAGGCTGGCCAGGCTGGTCTCAAACTCCTGACCTCAGGTGATCCACCCCCACCTTAGCCTCCCAAAGTGCTGGGATTACAGGCGTGAGCCATGGCACCCGGCCTATGTTCTTGTTATTGAGTCTAACAAAGAAAACCTGAGATAGGACAGATAATGTCTTCATTTTCCAGATAAGAAATTAAATGCTCAAACCATTAAATTACTTGAAGAATCTTAAGTCCGGTACATAACGTGGCTGGCCCTAATACCAATCAGACAGTGATCTAGGCCATCAGTAGTCAACTCAGTCATTGCTGCAATCTAAACAGTGTCTTCTTTGTCCACTGAACATCTGTGTCTTAGGAGAGGTAGGAGTGAAAAAGTGAGAATTAGAATAACAGTAAGTGCCTGACTCAGGTTTCAGTTAATTATTCTCTATTCACAGAGAATTCTCTATTCTCTATTAATAATGCTAGTTGGTGAGTAATTTGTTTATAGCCTTACTAATCAAAGTCTGGTCCACAAATCAGTAACATCAACATCACCTTAGAACTCATTAGAAATACTGAGTTCCAGATCTCATCTCTAACCTATTGACTCGGTTTGCATTTTAATAACAAGATGACTTACATATACAAAGTTTGAGAACTGGTCTAAGAGGTACCAACATTCAGAGCTGCAAGATGACCACTGAATATAATAAAAGCAGGTAAAAACATGTGAAGAGAAGGATAGATGAGAGGCCAGATTTCTTTCACATAGCCATTCATTCAATTTTTATATAACTAATACTTTCCAGTGCAAGGATGGAAGACGTTGTGTGTGCCAAGCATTATGGCTAGACCACAGTTACAAAAATGCCATAAAAAATAGATTGGTAGTACTCTGGGAGCAGGAGCTAGGTTTTGTTTTGAAAGATGGAGTCTCCCTCTGTCGTCCAAGCTGGAGTGCAGTGGTGAGATCTCAGCTCACTGCAACCTCCACCTCCTGGGTTCAAGTGATTCTTCTGCCTCAGCCTCTGGAGTAGCTGGAACTACAAGCATGTGAGAGGTGACAGCGTGCTGGCAGCCCTCACAGCCCTCGCTCGCTCTCCACGCCTCCTCGGCCTTGGCGCCCACTCTGGCCGCTTGAGGAGCCCTTTAGCCCGCCGCTGCACTGTGGGAGCCCCTTTCTGGGCTGGCCAAGGCCAGAGCCAGCTCCCTCAGCTTGCGGGGAGGTGTGGAGGGAGAGGCGCCGGCGGGAACCGGGGCTGCTCGCTGTGCTTGCAGGCCAGCGCAAGTTCTGGGTGGGCGTGGGCTCCGCTGCCCCACACTCGGAGCCGCCGGCTGGCCCCCGCCCCCACCCGGGCAGTGAGGGGCTTAGCACCTGGACCAGCAGCTGCTGTGCTCGACTTCTCGCTAGGCCTTATCTGCCTCCTGGCGGGGCAGGGCTGGGGACCTGCAGCCCGCCATGCCTGAGCCTCCTCCCCCACCGTGGGCTCCTGCAGCGGCAGGAGCCTCCCCAACAAGCGGGGGCCCCCTGCTCCAGGGTGCCCAGTCCCATCCACCATCCAAGGGCTGAGGAGTGCGGGCACACTGCATGGGACTGGCAGGCAGCTCCACCTGCAGCCCCGGTATGGGATCCACTGGGTGAAGCCAACTGGGCTCCTGAGTCTGGTAGGGACTTGGAGAATCTTTATGTCTAGCTAAGGGATTGTAAATACACCAATCGGCACTCTGTATCTAGCTCAAGGTTTGTAAACACACCAATCAGCACCCTGTGTCTAGCTCAGCGTTTGTGAATGCACCAGTCCACACTCTGTATCTAGCTACTCTGGTGGGGACTTGGAGAACCTTTGTGTCCACACTCTGTATCTAGCTAATCTAGTGGGCATGTGGAGAACTTTTGTGTCTAGCTCAGGGATTGTAAACGCACCAATCAGCACCCTGTCAAAACGGACCAGTCAGCTCTCTGTAAAATGGACCAATCAGCAGGATGTGGGTGGGGCCAGATAAGGGAATAAAAGCAGGCTGCCTGAACCAGCACTGGCAACCCGTTGGGGGTCTCCTTCCAAACTGTGGAAGCTTTATTCTTTGGCTTTTTGCAATAAATCTTGCTGCAGCTGTTTGGGTCCACACTGCCTTTATGAGCTGTAACACTCATGCGAAGGTCTGCAGCTTCGCTCCCGAAGCCAGCCAGACCACGAACCCACCAGGAGGAACAAACAACTCCAGACGCGCTGCCTTAAGAGCTCTAATACTCACCGCGAAGATCTGCAGCTTCACTCCTGAGCCAGCGAGACCACGAACCCACCAGAAGGAAGAAAACGCCGAACACATCCGAACATCAGAAGGAACAAACTCCGGACACGCCACCTTTAAGAACTGTAACACTCACCGCGAGGGTCCGCGGCTTCATTCTTGAAGTCAGACCAAGAACCCACCAATTCCGGACACACATGCACCACTACACCTGGCTAATTTTTGTATTTTTAGTAGAGATGGGGTTTCACCACGTTGCCCAGTCTGGTCTGGAACTCCTGAGCTCAAGCGATCTTCTTGCCTAGGCCTCCCAAAGTGTTGGGATTACAGGCACTAGGTTATTTTTTTTTATTTTTTTTCTGAGAAAGAGTCTCGCTCTGTCGCCCAGGCTTGAGTGCAATGGCGCAATCTCAGCTCACTGCAACCTCTGCCTCTCAGGTTCAAGTGATTCTCCTGCCTCAGCCTCCTGAGTAGTCGGGATTACAGGCACGCACCACCATGCCCGACTAATTTTTGTATTTTTTTGTTTAGTAGAGACGGGGTTTCGCCATATTGGTCAGGCTGGTCTCGAACTCCTGACCTCATGTGATCTGCCTGCCTCGGCTTCCCATAGTGCTGAGATTACAGGCGTGAGCCACTGCACCCGGCCTACAGGCACTAGGTTTTTAACTCATTTTACTCCCTAAGTTTCCCTAGATTCGTCTAATGTGACTAAAGTACACTTAGTTCTCAATTTCATCCTTAACTACATACCCTAATTTTGGTCTCAGGGAATGGTAATAGAGAAAGACCCACATACAAAAAAGACATTAAGGCATTGAAATCTCAAAGAAAGATCAAACAAACTCAGGTGTAACAGAGAAGCCAAGTCTGATTATGAGAAAGGTAATCGCAGGTTTGAGATTTGATACTGGGTAGCCCCCCACAAATCTTATTCACTCTGAGAAGTACAAAGAGGCGGTCATTAGCTTCGGTTGTTAGAAATCAAGATTATGTGAAACGCAGCAGTGGTTTCAGCTGGTTTCAGGTCTGGCACTGGTTTTGCTTAGAAAAGGGGTCTCACAAATATGTGCCTTAAAGTGCTTCTAAGCTAAAATAAAACACAAGGCTGGGTTTCTCAACTCAGCCTCACTGAGATTATAACCAAAGAGATTTTGTGGTTGTTGGCTATACATTGCAGAATGTGTAGTGGCATTCTTGACCACTATCCACTAGATACGAGTGACAAACGCTGTTGTGACAGCCAAAAATCCCTCTAAACATTGCCAAATGTCCCCTGGAGGGCAAAACCACCCGCTGAGAACCAGTATTCTAATGTAAAGGTGGAAGAGAACCAGTGCATGGTTACAGAAACAGGAGAAAGTCCATAGGCTGCTTTATTTGGCAAACCTCTCACACTGACATTAGACGCAGCCGACATCACTCTGGCGCACTGAACCAAACAACTATTCTCTCATTACCTCACGGTAATTCCAGCACTAAGATTTGAGTGTTTTCATTTCACGGGGCCTCTCATCATCTTATTTTAAGACACTATACATTCCTAGTAATTTTTTCCTGGCAGCCAAAATTAGAGAGACTTCAAAAGTAACTTGCCCAAGTTCATGCAGCTAACAAGTACAATGCTGGGGCTCAACTGTTTCCCAAACTTCAGTATATAGAGGAAGCAATTAGAACTCATCCAAATTCAGCTGCTTACTCTCTATATAATTTTCATTCTATCTCTCCAGCACCATGGATAGGCCAAGAGAGCCTGTAATCCTCCCCAGAAACCCAGAGATCTCTAAGGTAGTCCTTCCTTTCCCTGGTTCTTTCAAATTATAGGAGCCCCAGTTATGTTAGAAACATGGGTCTCACATTAGAAGAGGGATAATGGCATAAGATAAACTAAAACTGGAGAACTTTCAAATTGGCTTATAGAGAAAGAAGACTGAGCACAGTTTATGTGACCAGAAAGAGTAATTTTTTCTTAACTGAGTAATAGAAACAGGCAGCCCTACCTGTTGGTTTATAATCAGGGGGAAAAAAAAAAATCTCAGCTTTTTACACAGCAGTGTTTTAGAAAGTAATCTTATCAGTTTAAATCACCACCTCTGAAGATATTTCTTATGCATACCTGGGTTGAATCCAGAAGAATTCCAAAACAATAAAGAAAAGAGGAAGGACCTACCTAAGAGCACAGAGGTCTTCATTGCTCCAGACTCCAAGACACAACATAGAAAACAAGAAATGGCAAGGAGCTGGGGGTTCCTTGAGTGCTTATAAACCTTTGGCCACATTCAGCTGTCTGCAATTACCCTCTGCTGGGGCAGCCCAGGGAAACCCCTTAGCATCTTCTCAAAACATGGCCCATCAGCTGGCAGTAGCTGCAACACTTCACCTGTGCCATAGGCAACCTGGGAGCTTGTTAGACGCAAAATAACAGGTTTCACTCTAGACTTACAGTATCAATCACAAACTGCATTTCAATGAGATTTCCAAGTAGTTCACCTGCATATTAAATTTGAGAGGCATTTTTCTTAGCATAGCTTTAGTCTGGGCCACTTGACTACCAACTTCTTAAAAATTATTTTAAAATTAGAAATCATGATGTAAATAAAGTTACTCAATCTATTATACATCTCTAGGTATATGGATGTGTCTCAGTGAAGTCCTACACACCTACCTGTGATACTTATTAATTAAACTGTAAGGAACAAGAGCCCTAGGATTTAAAAAGCATCAGGAGACTGACACAGGTGACACATTTGTGATTTCATCTCACCATCATTCTCTCATTGTGGTTCAATTTTAAATTTCCTGAACTACTAATGAGGTTGAGCCCCTTCTCAAACATTTACTGACCATTTGGACACCCTCTATTGTGAAATCATTTTCCAAATTTTCTATTTCGTTGTCTGTATTTTTAAGGTTAATTTGCAAAAGACTTTTATATATTCTGAATATGAATCTCCTGGTTTATGTGTATTGTGAATATCTTCTACCACTCTGTACTGTGATGGTTAATTTTATATGTCAATTTGATTGGGCCACAAGGTGCACAGATCTTTGGTTTAACGTTATTCTGGGGGTGACTGTGAAGGCGTTTTTCAGTGAGATGAACATTCAAACGGGTAGACTGAGTAAGGCAAACTGCCTTCACCAATGTGGGTGAGCCTCATTTAATCTGTTGAAGGCCTGAATGGAATAAAAAGGTTGAGAGAGGCAGCATTCACTCTCTCTGTCAGACTGTCTTCAGCTGGAACATTGGTCTTCTCCTTTTCCTGACTTGAATTTAGACTAGGACTTACACCGTCACCTCTGCTGGTTCTTAGGCCTTTGGACTTGCACTGGAACGATACCCTTAGCTCTTCTCAATCTCCACCTTGCTGACTGCAGATCTTGGGACTTCTGAGACACTGGGAATCACAGGAGCCAATTCCTTATTGTATATGTGTGTGTATACGTGTGTGTGTATATATCTCACATATATATGGTATATTATACAGACATATACATCTCATATTGATTCTATTTCTCTAGAGAGCCCAAATAATACAGTAGGTAACCTTGTTAATTTCCTCATGGCATATTTATTTAATGATAATAAACAGAATAATTAAATATTACTATGGTCTAATTTTTTCCTTTGGAGTTTGTGCACTTTATGTCTCTTTTAATGTCTTTATTGATCTGAAATCCATGACAATTTTTTCCAGTATTCTCTTCTAAAAACTTTATAATTTCGCTCATCATATTGAGGTTTTAAATCTACTTGGAATTGATTTTTGTGAATAGAAAAGCATATTTGACCATATGGATAGCCATCTGGGGATTGAAATAATTTATTTATTTAAAAGTCCATCTTTATCCACAGTTCTGCAGTCTGTCTTTCATAAGTCAAGGTGTGTATGCCTATTTCCAGAGCCTCTATTTTATTCATTTATCTATTTATTTATTCCTGTATCAATACAAATATATCTTGTTTACCATAGATTTATCTTGATATTGTTACAGTAAGTCCTCCTTCTTTTTTTTAAGTGTTCCCATTTTTTTGACCAATTATGTAAATTTTAAGACCAGCTTGCCAAGTTTTAGAAAAAAAAAACCTATCGTTCAAGAGAATGAGAAGGCAAGACATACACTGTTAGAAAATACTTGCAAAAGACATAACTGATAAAAGACTTTTGTTCTGGAGTGGGCAGATCTATGCAAACTGACCCCAAAGTCCAAGGAAGCTGAAGGGGCAGAAGAAAGTGGTTGACAAATCCAGTTTCTTAAAAAGAAACATTTAATAGGGACTTAGAAACCATGTAGCCATGTTGTGCCTCAGTGGAAACGAGACCAGATGGTGGATCCCATGCCTTTTTCCCCTAGATCCAGAGGTGTATACCATAGGGAAGGGAAATACATGATTCAGAAGAGATGTGTAGGACAACTGAAGTACGATGACATGAAGGTTGTTTTGACCTAAAGGCAGGATTTACACACTCTTACCTAGGGAGCAATAGATAAACTGGAAATCTTAAGAGGCCTTCTTAGAACCAGGGTTAATCAAAAGTCAACATGGCAAATTAGCATTCAAGATGTAGTTGCTTTATCTCCACAACTGTTATCCAAAATATACAAAGTACTCAAAGTTAACAATAAAGAATCAAACAATGCAATTAAAAATGGGCCAAATACCTGGACACCTCACCTAATAAGATATGCAGATGACAAATAAACATATGAGAGGATGCTGCATGTCACATGTCATCAGGGAAATGCAAATTCAAAGAATGAGATACCACTACACACCTATTAGAATGGCTAAAATCCAGAACACTTGCAACACCAGTTAGTTGCTGGTGAGGATGTAGAGCAACAGAAGTTCTCACTCAGTGCTGGTGGGAATAGGAAATGGTACAGCCGCTTTGGAAGACAGCTTGGTAGTTTCTTACAAAATCAAATATACTCTTAGTGCCTGCTCCAGCAATGTGCTCCCTGGTACTTAACCAAAGAAGTTGAAAACTCATGTCCACACAAAAACTTGCACACAAATGTTTATAGCAGCCTGAATCATAATTGCCAAAACTTGGAAGCAACCAAGATGTCCTTCAATAGGTGAATGGATAAACTGTGGTACATCCAGACCATAGAATATTATTCAATGCCAAGATGAAATGAGCTATCATCATACCATGAAGAGACATGGAGGAACCTAAAATATTTGCACATTACTTAGTGAAAGAAACCAATCTGAAAAGGCTGCATATTGTATGATTCCAACCATATGATATTCTGGAAAAGGCCAAATTACAGGAATAATAAAAATATCAGTGGTTTCCAGGAGTTGGGTGGAAGGAGGGATAATTAGGCAGAGCACAGAGGACTTTTAGGACAGTGAGACTATTCTGTATTATACTATAATGGTGAATATACGTCATTATACATTGATCTAAACTCATAGAATGTATAACACCAAGAGTGAACCCTAGTGTAAGCTGTGGATTCTGAGTGATAATAATATGTCAATGTAAGTTCATCAATTGTAACATATTTACCACTCTGTTTGGGGGTGTTGATAATGAGGAAGGCAATTATATGTGGAGGCAGGGGAAATATGAAATACCTTCCTCTCAATTTTGCTGTGAACCTAAAACTGCTGTATAAAGATAAAATGTTTTTAAAAATGGTTGCAATTTTTATTGTGATTGGAATCAATCTATATCCCACAAGACTGCCAAATCATGAACATATTATCCCTCCATTTATTTACGTCTTTAGTGTCCGTGAGTAAAGCATTATAATTATCCCTTTACATTCTTACAAAGGTTCTGTTAGATTTATTCAAAATAGTTATTATTTATATGCTATTGTAATTTTTTAATGTTTTCTAACTACCAGGTATATTTGATGGAACCTTTATCAAAATAAGGGAATTTCTTTATGTTAATAGTTTACTCATTTTTTTATTATATTTTAAGTTTTAGGGTACATGTGCACAACGTGCAGGTTAGTTACATATGTATACATGTGCCATGTTGGTGTGCTGCACCCATTAACTCGTCATTTAACATTTAACTCGTCATTTAACATTAACATTAACATTAACTCGTCATTTAACTCCTAATGCTCTCCCTCCCCCCTCCCCCCACCCCACAACAGTCCCCAGTGTGTGATGTTCCCCTTCCTGTGTCCATGTGTTCTCATTGTTCAATTCCCACTTATGAGTGAGAACATGTGGTGTTTGGCTTTTTGTCCTTGTGATAGTTTGCTCAAAATGATGTTTTCCAGCTTCATCCATGTCCCTACAAAGGACATGAACTCATCGTTTTTTTATGGCTGCATAGTATTCCATGGTGTATATGTGCCACATTTTCTGAATACAGTCTATCATTGTTGGACGTTTGGCTTGGTTCCAAGTCTTTGCTATTGTGAATAGTGTCACAATAAACATACAAGTGCATGTGTCTTTATAGCAGCATGATTTATAATCCTTTGGGTATATATCCAGTAATGGGATGGCTGGGTCAAATGGTATTTCTAGTTCTAGATCCCTGAGCAATTGCCACACTGACTTCCACAATGGTTGAACTAATTTACAGTCCCACCAATGGTGTAAAAGTGTTCCTATTTCTCCACATCCTCTCCAGTACCTGTTGTTTCCTGACTTTTTAATGATCACCATTCTAACTGGTGTGAGATGGTATCTCATTGTGGTTTTGATTTGCATTTCTCTGATGGCCAGTGATGATGAGCATTTTTTCATGTGTCTTTTGGCTGCATAAATGTCTTCTGTTGAGAAGTGTCTGCTCATATCCTTTGCCCACTTTTTGATGGGGTTGTTTGTTTTTTCTTGTAAATTTGTTGGAGTTCATTGTAGATTCTGGATATTAGCCCTTTGTCAGATGAGTAGATTGCAAAAATTTTCTCCCATTCTGTAGGTTGCCTGTTCACTCTGATGGTAGTTTCTTTTGCTGTGCAGAAGCTCTTTAGTTTAATGAGATCCCATTTGTCAATTTTGGCTTTTGCTGACATTGCTTTTGGTGTTTTAGACATGAAGTCCTTGCCCTTGCCTATGTCCTGAATGGTATTGCCTAGGTTTTCTTCTAGGGTTTTTATGGTTTTAGGTCTAACATTTAAGTCTTTAATTCATCTTGAATTAATTTTTGTATAAGGTGTAAGGAAGGGATCCAGTTTCAGCTTTCTACATATGGCTAGCCAGTTTCCCCAGCACCATTTATTAAATAGGGAATCCTTTCCCCATTGCTTGTTTTTGTCAGCTTTGTCAAAGATCAGATAGTTGTAGATATGCGGCATTATTTTTGAGGGCTCTGTTCTGTTCCATTGATCTATACCTCTGTTTTGGTACCAATACCATGCTGTTTTGGTTACTGTAGCCTTGTAGTATAGTTTGAAGTCAGGTAGCGTGATGCCTCCAGCTTTGTTCTTTTGGCTTAGTATTGACTTGGCAATGCAGACTCTTTTTTGGTTCGATATGAACTTTAGTTTTTTCCAATTCTGTGAAGAAAGTCATTGGTAGCTTGATGGGGATGGCATTGTAGTTTACTCATTTTTATCACCACTGAATATTGAATTTTATCAAATTTTTTACTGTGCTCTACTAAGTACATTATTTGTTAATGTGGTAACAAACTTTAATACATTTTTAATACTAAATCTAAATTTCACCATAGACACAAACCCAATTGATCATATGTTTTTTAATGTATTTCTGGAGTTGATTTTTCTAATATTTTATATACAGCTTTTACATCTATGTCTAATTGAGGCTTTCTATTGTAGTTTGTTCTTAGTTTAATTATTTACCTCTCATTCTTGGAATTCATTTCTTCAAATGTCTGTTAATGGTTGTTTAGTACTATACCTTTCAGCTCTTCTTCTTTTGTAATGTATAATTTTACACCATCAATTTCTCTAGTTGTAACCTACAAAGGATAACCGAAAGTGTTATTGTTTTTATTCAAAATGCTTTCTAATTATTATAGTGATTTTTTGATCCACTGCTTATTAAGAGAGGTCTTACCCAATTTCTCTACATGTTGAATTTTAAAATAGTTGCATTATTTTATCATTTATCATTTATTGTTGAACTCTAATTCCCACCTATCAGAAAACATACAGTATATTATTTCAATCCTTTGAAACAAAACTTGTCAACTTTTTGTAAATCTATGTAAGATTTAAAAGATTATATATTCTACACTCAGGATATGGTCATCTATAGATGTCACTAGGTCAATTTTGTTAACTGTGTCATCCAAATTGCCAAAATCCCAAAGAATTGTGAACGTATCACTGTATCATTTACTGTGAAAGGTGTGTTAAAATTTTCCTCTTACACACATGCATTACTTAAGGATATATTCTGAGAAACGAATCATTAGGCAATTTCATCATGGGTTAACATGATAGCATGTACTTACATAAACCTAGATGGTATAGCCTACTACACACCTGGGCTATATGGTATAACCTATTGCTTCTAGGCTACAAACCTGTACAGCATGTGACTGTACTGAATACTGTAGGCAATTGTAACACAATGGTAAATATTTATGTATTTAAATATAGAAAAGGTGCAGTAAAAATATGGTATATTTGAGACCAGGCTGGGCAATGTAGTGAGACTCCACCTCTCCAAAAAAAAAGAAAGAAGAAAAAGGATAAAAGATTTTAAAATGGTACCCCTGTGTCTGAAGTGGGCCTCCAGCAAACTCCAGAAGATCTGCAGAAGAGGCCTGACTGTTAGAAGAAAAACTGACAAACAGAAAGCAAGAACATCAACATCAACAAAAAGGACCCCCACAAAAGAAAAAATCCCATCCAAAGGTCATCAGCCTCAAAGATCAAAGGTAAATAAATCCACAAAGATGAGGAAAAAACAATGCAAAATGCTAAAAATTCCAAAAACTAGAATGCCTCTTCTCCTCCAAATGATCGCAACTCCTCTCCAGCAAGGGCACAAAAGTAGATGGAGAATGAGACTGATGAGCTGACAAAAGTAGGCTTCAGAAGATGGGTAATAACAAATGCCTCTGAGCTAAAGGAGCATGTCCTAACCCAATGCAAGCAAGCTAGGAACCTTGATAAAATGTTGCAGGAACTGCTAACTAGAATAACCAGTTTAGAGAAGAACATAAATGACTTGATGGAGCTGAAAAACACAACATGAGAACTTCATGAAACATAAACAGGTATCAATAGCCGAATTGATCAAGCAGAAAAAAAGGATATCAGAGATTGAAGATCAACTTAATGAAATAAGGTGTGAAGACAGGATTAGAGAGAAAAGAATGAAAAGGATGAACAAAGTATCCAAGAAATATGGGACTATGTGAAAAGACCAAACCTACGACTGATTGTTGTACCTGAAGTATGAACAGAATAGAACCAAGTTGGAAAACACTCTTGAGGATATTATCCAGGAGAAATTTCCCAACCTAGCAAGACAGGCCAACATTCAAATTCAGGAAATACAAAGAACAGCATGAAGATACTCCTCCAGAATAGCAACCCCAAGACACATAATCGTCAGATTCTCCAAGGTTGAAATGAAGGGAAAAATGTTAAGGGCAGCCAGAGCGAAAGGTCAGGTTACCAACAAAGGGAAGCCCATCAGACTAACAGCGGATCTCTCTGCAGGAATCCGACAAACCAGGAAAGAGTGGGGGCCAATATTCAACATTCTTAAACAAAACAATTTTCAACCCAGAATTTCATATCCAGCCAAACTAAGCTTCATAAGTGAAGGAAAAATAAAATCCTTCACAGACAAGCAAATGCTGAGGGATTTTGTCACCACCAGGCCTGCCTTACAAGAGCTCCTGAAGGAAGCACTAAATATGGAAAGGAAAAACCAGTACCAGCCACTGCAAAAACACACCAAAATATAAAGGCCAATGACACTATGAAGAAACTGCATCAACTAATATGCAAAATAACCAGCTAGCATCATGATGACAGAATCAAATTCACACATAACAATATTAACCTTAAATGCAAATGGGCTAAATGCTCCAATTAAAAGACACAGACTGGCAAATTGGATAAAGGGTCAAGACCCATCAGTATGCTGTATTCAGAAGACCCATCTCACATACAAAGACACACACAGACTCAAAATAAAGGGATGGAGGAATATTTACCAAGCAAATGGAAAGCAAGAAAAAAGCAGGGGTTGCAATCCTAGTCTCTGATAAAACAGACTTTAAACCAAAAAAGATCAAAAAAGACAAAGAAGGGCATTACATAATGGCAAACAGCTCAATGCAACAAGAAGAGCTAACTATCCTAAATATATATGCACCCAATACAGGAGCATCCAGATTCATGAAACAAGTTCTTAGAGACCTGAAAAGAGAATTAGACTCCCACACAATAAAAGTGGGAGACTTTAACACCCCCACTGTCAATATTACACAGATCAACAAAACAGATGAACCCAGCTCTAGACCAAGTGAACCTAAGAGACATCTACAGAACTCTCCACCCCAAATCAACAGAATATACATTCTTCTCAGCACCACATAGCACTTATTCTAAAATCAACCACATAATTGGAAGCAAAACACTTCTCAGCAAATGCAAAAGAACAGAAATGATAACAGTCTCTCAGACCACAGTGCAATCAAATTAGAACTCAGGATTAAGAAACTCACTCAAAACCACACAACCACACAAAAACTGAACAACCTGCTCCTCAATGACTACTGAGTAAATAAGAAAACTAAGGGAGAAATAAAAGAGTTTTTTGAAACCAATGAGAACAAAGACACAACGTACCAGAATCTCTGGGACACAACTAAAGCAATATTAAGAGAAAAATTTATAGCACTAAATGCTCCCATCAGAAAGTGGGAAAGATCTAAAATCAACACCCTAACATCACAATTAAAAGAACTAGAGAAGCAAGAGTAAGCAAATTCAAAAGCTAGCAGAAGACAAGAAATAAGTAAGATGAGAGCAGAACTGAAGGAGTTAGAGATATGAAAAACCCTTCAATAAAAATCAGTGAATCCAGGAGCTTGTTTTTTGAAAAGATTAACAAAATACACAGACCACTAGCCAGACTAATAAAGAACAAAGAGAAAAATCAAATAGACACAATAAAAAATAATACAGGGGATATCACCACTGGTCTCACAAAAATACAAACTACCATCAGAGAATACTATAAACACCTCTATGCAAATAAACTAGAAAATCTAGAAGAAATGGACAAATTCCTGGACACATACACCCTCCCAAGACTAAACCATGAAGAAGTCGAATCCCTGAATAGACCGATAGCAAGTTCTGAAATTGAGGCAGTAATTAATAGCCTACTATCCATAAAAAAGCCCAGGATCAAATGGATTCACAGCCAAATTCTACCAGAGGTACAAAGAAGAGCTGGTACCATTACTTCTGAAACTATTCCAAACAATAGAAAAAGAGGGACTGCTCCCTAACTCATTTTATGAGGCCAGCATCATCCTGATACCAAAACCTGGCAGAGACACAACAAAAAAAAGAATTTTAGACCAATATCCCTGATGAACATCGATGTGAAAATCCTCAATAAAATACTGGCAAACCAAATCCAGCAGCACATCAAAAAGCTATTCACCACAATCAAGTCGGCTTCACCCCTGGGATGCAAGGCTGGTTCAACATTCACAAATCAATAAACATAATCCATCACATAAACAGAACCAATGACAAAAACCACGTGATTATCTCAATAGATGCAGAAAAGGCCTTTGATAAAATTCAATGGCCCCTCATGCTAAAAACTCTCAGTAAGCTAGGTGACTGCATTGAATTTGTAGATTGCTGGAATTGATGGAACATATCTTAAAATAATAAGAGCTATTTACGACAAACCCAAGGCCAATATCATACTGAATGGGCAAAAGCTGGAAGCATTGCCTTTGAAAATCAGCACAAGACAAGGATGTCCTCTCTCACCACTCCTATTCAACATAGTATTGGAAGCTCTGGTGAGGGCAATCAGGTAAGAGAAAGAAATAAAGGGTATTCAAATAGGAAGAGAGGAAGTCAAATTGTCTCTGTTTGCAGATGACATTATTGTATATTTAGAAAACCCCACAGTCTCAGCCCCAAAACTCCTTAAGCTGATAAGCAACTTCAGCAAAGTCTCAGGATACAAAATCAATGTGCAAAAATCACAAGCATTCGAATACACCAATAATGGAGTCAAATCATGAGTGAACTCCCTTTCACAATTGTGACAAAGAGAATAAAATATCTAGGTATACAACTTAAAAGGGATGTGAAGGACCTCTTCAATGAGAACTACAAACCACTGCTCAAGGAAATAAGAGAGGACACAAACAAATGAAAAAAAAATTCCATGCTCATGGATAGAAAGAATATCATGAAAATGGCCATACTGCCCAAAGTAATTTATAGATTCAATGCTATTCTCATTAAGCTAACATTGGCTTTCTTCACTGAATTAGAAAAAACTACTTTAAACTTCATATGAAACAAACAAACAAAAAAAGCCTGTATAGCCAGGAAAATCCTAAGCAAAAAGAACAAACCTGGAGCAATCACACTACCTGACTTCAAACTATACTGTAAGGCTAACCAAAACTGCATGGTACTGGTACCAAAACAGATATATAGACCAATGGAACAGAACAGAGGCCTCAGAAATAACACCACACATCTACAACCATCTGATCTACTACAAACCTGACAAAAACAAATAATGGGGAAAGGATTTCCTTTTTAATAAATAGTGCTGGGAAAACTGAAACTGAACTCCTTCCTTACACCTGATACACAAATTAACTCAAGGTGGATTAAAGACTTAAACATAAAACGTAAAATCTTAAAAACGCTAGAAGAAAACCTAGGCAATACCATTTAGGACATAGGCATGGGCAAAGACTTCATGACTAAAACAACAAAAGCAATTGCAACAAAAGCCAAAATTGACAAATGGGATCTAATTAAATTAAAGAGCTAGGCCTCAGCAAAAGAAACTACCATAAGAGTGAACAGACAACCTACAGAATGGGAGAAAATTTTTGCAATCTATCCTCTACTATCAAGAATCTACAAGGAACTTAAACAAATGTACAAATAAAAAACAACCCTATCTAAAAGTTAGCAAAAGATATGAACAGACACTTCTCAAAAGAAGATATTTATGCTCCAACAAACATGAAAAAAGACTCATCATCACTGATCATTAGATAAGTGGAAATCAAAACCACAATGAGATACCATCTCACGCCAGTTAGAATGGCGATCATTAAAAACTCAGGAAACAACAGATGCTGGAGAGGATGTGGAGAAATAGGAATGCTTTTACACTCTTGGTGGGAGTGTAAATCAGTTCAACCGTTGTGGAAGACAGTGCGGGGATTCCTCAAGGCTCTAGAACCAGTAATGCTATTTGACCCAACAATCCCATACCTGGGTATATACCCAAAGGACTATAAATCATTCTACTATAAAGACACATGCACACGTATGTTTATTGCGGCACTATTCACAATAGCAAAGCCTTGGAACCAACCCAAATTCCCATCAATGATAGACTGGATAAATAAAATGTGGCACTTATACACCATGGAATACTATGAAGCCATAAAAAGAATGAGTTCATGTCCTTTGCAGATACATGAATGAAGCTGGATACCATCATTCTCAGCAAACTAACACAGGAACAGAAAACCAAACACCGCATGTTCTCACTCAAAAGTAGGAGTTAAACAATGATAACACATGGACACAGGGAGGGGAACATCACATACTGGGGCCTGCTGGAGGGTGGAGGACAAGGGGAGGGAGAGCATTAGGACAAATACCTAATGCATGCAGGGCTTAAAACCTAGATGATGGCTTGATGGGTATGGCAAACCACCATGGCACATGTATACCTATATAACAAACCTGTACATTCAGCACATGTATCCCAGAACTTAAAGTAAAATTTTAAAAAAATGGTACCCCTGTATAAGGCACTTACTATGAATGAATCTTGCAAGACTGGATGTTGCTCTGGGTGAGTCAGTGAGTGAGTGATGAGTGAACGTGAATGCCTAGGACATTACTGTAAGCTACTGGAGACTCAACACTTACACTTAGGCTACTGTAAATTCATTTTAAAATTTTTTCTTCAATAATTAACCTTAGCTTAACTTTATTACTTTATAAAATTATTTTTTTTTACTTTTTGACCATTTTGTAATAACAGCTAGCTTAGCTTAAAACACATACACTGTACAGCTGTACAAAAACTCTTTCTATCCTTATTCTATAAGCTTTTTTCTATATTTAAAACTTTTCATTTTTTACTCTTTAAACTTTTTTCTTAAACAGTAAGAAACAAATATACGCACTAGTCTAGGCCTATGCAGGGTCAGGATCCTCAATCTCACCGTCTTCCCTCTCCACATATTGTCCCACTGGAAGGTCTTCGTGGGCAATAACACACAAGGAGTTGTCATCTCCTGTGATAACAATGTCTTCTTCTGGAATACCTGCGGAAGAAGCTGTCTGAGGCTGTTTTAGTTCACCTTATTTTTAATAAATAGAAGGAATACACTCTAAAACAATTATAAAAAGTAAATACACAAGCCAGTAACATAGTCATTTGTTATCATTTTCAAGTATTATATACAGTATATAACTGTATTTCTATACTTTTATATAACTGGCGGCACAGGTTTATTTGCAACGGCATCACCACAAACATGTGAGTAATGCATTGTGCTACAACGTTATGACAGCTATGCTTCACTAGGCAATGGGAATTTTTCAGCTTCTATAATCTTTTAAAATTCTTTTATTTTTAATTATTATGAATACATAATAGCTGTACATCTTTATTGGATACAGGTGATATTTTGATACAATCATACAATGTGTAATGATCAAATCGGGGTAATTAAGACATCCATCGTCTTAAATGTGTATTATTTCTTTGTGTTAGGAAAAAAATGTTTATTCTAACATTATCCATGTTTTTCAGCTCACATGCTCATCTATAAACCCCAGCCTGCCATTACCAGAAACTTTAACTCTCTTTTGCATTTTTTAAAATTTTTCTTAAAATTTATTTATAGAATTAGAAGAAGCTTAGGAAAAGGGCCAAATATTTACATTTTGGTAGCTATATCCTATGTGCCTTCAAATAAATGTGTGATCTGTTTTCACTTTGAAAATCTAAATTCAATTTATAAACATTGGTTATTGTCTATGTTATCAAATTTTGATATTCTGTTAAACAAACTAGTCCTACTTTTTAAAATAGTTTCATAGCTTTTAAAAAATGTCTAATTAACAAATAATATTTATATATTTATAGGGTACGATGTAATATTTTAATACAGGTATACATTATGAAATAATTAGATCAAGTTAATTAACACATGCATCACCTCACATACTTATTTTTGTGGCAAGAGCACTTGAAATTTACTCTTGACAATTTTGAAATATACATTTTTTTCATAAATTATTGTGAAATTTCATATAATGATTTGTGAAATTGTGGTGCACCCATCACCCAAGTCTGAGCTCAGACTCTCCTTGGGCAGGTCTTGCTACAGCTGCTGTAGGGGATGGGAGTAAGGTTCCCACGTCAATGGAGTTGTGTATCTAGGAGGATTATGGCTGCCTCTGCTGAGTCATGCAGGTTGTCAGGGAAGTAGGGAAAAGATGGCAGTCACAGGTTTCACCCAACTCCCACACAAACCGAAGAGCTGATCTCACTCCTATCATGCCCCCATTAACAGCCTTGAGCCTTTTTCCAGGTGGTGGGCAAGTTGGGCTTCAGAACTTGCCCCAGGCTACCCACCTCCCAGCTGTGAAAGAAAAGAGCTTGGTTCTTCCCCCTCCTGTGGAGTCTGCACATCAGATTCGCACCCTTTCCCGAATTCTGGCCAGGAGGCTTCTTGCCTGGTTCAAATTGTTACAAAATTCAGCTGGAGACTTCCTTCTCCCTGTGGTGTTTTCCCCAGCTTCTCTGTCTTCCATCCTGATGGATACCTGTGGTGCCAGGCAGGAATGGCCTGCTTGGGGACCCAGCGAGGTCCCAAAGCATTTCCTACTGCTTCCTCTACCCCTATATTTTGCTTGGCTCTCTAAACTGACTCAGCTCCAGGTAAGGTCAGAAACTTCTCCTGCAAACAGACCTTCAGTTTCTCCAGGGGTGTGTGTTCAAGAGAGGAAGATTTCCCTCTCCCACTTCTGCAGTTGGAGCACTCACAGTATTTGGGGTGTCTCCTGTGTCCTGCAGGAGCAGTCCACTTCCTTCAGAGGGCCTGTGGGTCCTCTTGGGATTGCTGGTTTGTTCTTGCAGTTGATTTGGAACTAAAATTCACAATGCAAGCCTCGGCACACTGCTCTGTCTGTGTGAGTTGGAGCTGCAATCTAGCCCTGACTCCTGTCTGCCATGATCTCCAAGAACAGCCCAAAATATACATTATTATTTAACTATAGTCACTATGCTGTGCAATAGATTTCAAATCCTTATTCTTCCTAACTGAATGACATCTCTCCATCTCTCCCTCCCATCCACTCTCCAGCTTCTGGTAATGACCATTCGATTTTCCACTTGTATGAGTGACTTTTTTAGATATCACATGTAAGTGAGATCATACAGTATTTGCCTTTTTGTGCCTGGCTTATTTCACTTAGGATGTTATCCAGGTTCATCCATGTTGTCACCAATGACAGAATTTCCCTCTTTGATAAGGCTGAATAACATTCCATTGCACATGTGTACCACATTTTTCTTTATCCATTCATCCATTGATGGACACTTGGGTCGATTCCATATCTTGGACATTGTAAATGCTGCTGCACTGAATATGAGAATGCAGATATCTCCTCACCATACTGATTTCAATTCCTTTACATATATACCCAGAAATGGATGGCTGAATCACATGGTAATTCAGTTTTTAGTTTTTTGGGGAACCTCCATAGTGTTTTTTATAATGGCTGTCCTAACTTATATTCCAACCAATAGGAATGTAAGGGTTCCCTTTTCTCCACATTCTTGCCAGGATTTGTGAATTTTCATCTTTTTTATAATAGCCATTCTAACATCTCATTGTGATTTTAATGTGCATTTCTCTGATGTTTAGTAATGTTATTTTTTTCATATTCCTTTTGGCCATTTGTATGTTTTCTTTTGAGAAATGTCTATTCAGGTCTTTTCCCCATTTTTTGACTGGTTATTTTTCTTGTTATTGAGTTGTTTGATTTCTAACAAGACTGAGTTTTTTAAATGGTTACTACTCACCTATGTGGATCATTTATATCATTTTATTATTTTTATATTAAATGTTTATTCTTTTATATAGGTATAATTTTTATAATCTGGATATTAAGCTTTTAAAATTATACTTAGTGATAGTTTTCTGTCATTTATCTTCAAAATTTTTGTTATAAAACTATAAAGATATATTTTCTTAATGATTCCTGGATATTGACTCTTGCTTGGAAAATATCATCTATACCAGTTTACTTTATAATGTTATAAATATTTATGTTGTAAATATATACTATATATAATTTATGTCATTTATTTTATAAATATTCTGATTTTCAAAATATTTTTACCTCTTAAAGTCATAATTTTTGTGCAGAGTGTAGAAATGTACCTAAAAGTGTAGTCCACATGCCTTATGAACTAATCCACACTTTCTTTCATCATAAATTAATCATACACCTATGTATAGGTCAATTTCTAAAACCTGTTTCAGCATCACCATTTCTATTCTGGTAAAACTATACATTAATACAGTTTTAGTTTATGTTCTTATAATTAGGTGAATAATTACTACAAATTTTATTTTACTTTTACATGTTTACTACTAAGATTTCTCTAATATGGAGAAGCAGTAAAACATAGTTGTTAAAAGCAAAAGTTCTGAAGCTATGCCTAGCAGTGGTATCATCTAGGACATGTTATTTAACCTCTATTTGCTGCAGTTATTTCCTTTGTACAGAAAAAAATAGTCAATATACTATAGAGGGGTTGCTGGCTGTGTGGATTGAAGTGTTAATTCACATGATTAAAGGGGTTAATTACTTGGAGCATGTCCTCGCAATGAAAAATTCTTTTTCTCACTTGAATCTGTTACTATACTGAAGTACCTTAATAGAATGCCTGTTAATATTACTTTGAATTCTTTCCTGATTATTTTTAAAGATACTGCATTTAGTTTTCTAATTATATATTTCTGAATCTCTTCCTATATTTTTGTATACATATATTTATATATAGGTCAACAATTTAGGTGCCTGTATTGCCCTGGCCAGTTATCATAAATTGGAGAGAATTATCTGTCCTTATTTTTTTAAGACTATGAGATTACTTATGAAATGCAGATATCTTTGTTTACAATTAGTGAAATTGGTTTATAACATATGTTAACAAATATATTATTTGTAAATATGTGACGACTTCTAAATTGGTCTCTAATTCTCTCTTCAGACTTTCTGTATCTTGAATCTATATTGTAATACTTTCCTAAAGTATTATTCATCTTCATTTTCAAATATATTGGCCTAAAATTATATAACATTTATAAAAAGTCTAATTATAAAATTCTTATAGGGATTATGTAAACTATTTACATATTTTAAGATAAGTGATAATTTTGGATTATTCCTGCTACATTATGTTATTTATTATAATTTTTCTTCTTACACCTGAGTTTTATTAGATTTGCCTTGTTTCTACATGGTTAATTCTCTGGCAACTTGTGAGTCCCCTATATATTTCTTTGAAAGTTTTATATATACTTTTTAAGAGGGCGGGAGTCTTCAAGATCACTGGCAGTTTCCTACGGGGACTCACAGGACTCAGCATGTAGTCATATCCCACTATGATTTATCACAGAAAAAGGATACAGAGCAAAATCAGCAAAGGGAAAAGGTCCATGGAATGATGTCCAAAGGAAACCAGGTGCAAGCTTCCAAAATTCCTCTCCCAGTGAAGACACACAGGATGGGCTTAATTCCTCCTACACTTATTTGTGACAACATGTGAAGTATTGTCTATCCAGGAAGGTCATTAGAGACTCACTATCCAGGGTCTGTTTTATTATTAGGGGCTGGTCAGGTAAGCCTTCTGTTCCTGGCATGTACCCACAACGCAGATTCCCAAAAGGAAAGCAGGTATACAACATATTGTTTGTACGGTTTTAGGCACACTGAGCTACTCTTATTAGTTAGGGTTCAGGGGACCCTCCCCAAATCCAAATTACCACATGGTAGCCAAGAGCCAACCTTGCAAGCAGGCCCAAGAGTAGCAGTCTCAGGCCTGCTATTTTTAAATCTTCTCTGTACATCTTTGAATTTTCAAAATGGAGAATCCTCCATTTTTCTATGATCATCTGGAGTTAATTAGTATGTGGTAGGCAGAATTCTAAAGCTATTTCCTCCAGATTCCTATCCCTGACTTATTCAAGGAAGCATTAATCTAGGTACTTTGCAGGTATAATTAAGATTAAGGGCTTTAAAATAGAGAGATTATCCCAGATTGTCTGAGAAACCCAATTTAATTGAGTGAGTCCTTAACAGTAAGGACTGCTTCCAGCCAGGGAGACTGCCTCAGAAAAGGATCTGTCAGAGAAATCGAAGTGTGTGAGAAACTCGTCCTGTCATTGCTGCTTTAGAAGGATCCATATAGGAAGACATGTGAGTTCTCTAAAAGCTGAGAACTACCCCCAGCCGATGACCAGCAAGAAAATAGGAATTTCAGTTCTCCAATTACAAGGAACTGAATTCTGCCAACTTAAATTACCCAAGAGCCCTGCTGACAACTTGATTCACTCTTGTGAGACTCCAGAGAATCTAAATGAGCCACTTGGTGCCTGGACTCCAACCCCAGAAAACTATGAGGCAATAAACGAATGTTGTTTGAAGCCAATAAATTTGTGGAAATTCGTTGTGAGAAAAACAAAGCTAATACACAATCTGTATTCTTGTGCGGGGAACTTATCACATTTTTCCAACATTTTATGATAATTTGGGATTTTCAGATTTTACATTCCAGTACTAAATTTATGCCAAAGAATGAATTTTGCCAATATCTTAGCTCTCTAACTTTATTTGCATTTACATTTTTTCTTTTGGAGCACATAGTCTAATAATTCTTTAGAAGGGGATCTGTATTATTTATTGTAATCCTTATTTGATTTTTTGATATCTTTATACCATCAGGATATCTAAGATGAATAATACTTTAAGACTATACATTTAAGTCTTTTTCTTCTCACAAATGAAATCTAGTTAGCCTGAATATGGGGGGAAAGATTAAAATAAATTTGATCACAATTGCTATTATTCTGTAGACCTTTAGCATCCAAGTTTACAGATAAGCCTGTACAAGTTAATAACCTTTTATAGTGTAGATTTACTGTGTGATTTGAGAATATTTATCTCTAAAAGCAGAAAACAAAGTGGTCAAAACTCATTAGAAGTGACATAAGCAAGTAAGAAGCCAGTGAAACAGGCAGAATAAGATGCATTGAATATAGGTGAGTGAAATACTAACCAGAAGGATAAATAAATAGAAAACAGGATGAAATATACAAAAACATTAGGGGAAATATGGGGAAAAATATTTTTCCATCATGTCATCATTGACCAGACAACTCTGTAACCCCAAATTGCCCACCAATTAGTAACATCTAGTTTGGTCCCATCCTGGCCCCATGTGTTCCACTACAACCCCCTCAAACACACACACACACACACACATCTCTTGGAATTATGTCATAGCTAACTCCAGTAACACTTACCACTGCATTTCTCTGATAGAGCAAACGTGTGCTGTTGACTCTGAGTACCTTCTGTTTGTGGCCTTGCTCAATCCTCAATGCTGGTCCTTGTAACCTCATAATTAATCAATAGAGAAGGATGATACAGTAGGGAAAGATACAAGATATATGTACAGTATACACCCCAGGATGCTGCAAGTGTGGTCCTTCCATCCTGCTTGCCCCCTACCCTAAGTGTGTTATCTTCCACCAGTGCCTACTTATTTTTCCTGGCCTCTTACTACAAGTTTTAAATTGATTTTATTCCCCATGTGATTTTTAGCATCATCCTTTGGTCTATGAGCTTTGGGAGGTGCTGTGTCTTTCAGAGATGGCCTAATGTGCCTAAAACTAATAGGACATTTTCTTTTTGCTTTTGATTTTATTTAAAATTTTTAAGTGTTCAATTTTTGGCTTTCTAGAATTTCAGCAAGCTAGATCTAACTCAGGAATATTTGGGTTGAAAGACGAGTAGGGAATATGTAACTTTTAAAATATAGGACATTCATTTACAGAAAGAATTACTGAAACTCAAACAGCTAAAATAAATTGTCCTCAATCTGGTAGAAATGAATCACTTATGATGTTCTAGTGATTTAATCCCCAGAGAAGGAAAATAAAAAATAATTTCATATAAATTGAGATTAAAAACCGTGTTCTTATATTCAGGGTTAGAGATATTCCACAGTATGTCAATGAATCCTCTAGTCAGTATTTTGTTAGAAAGGGAGAGGGGGTGAAGTAGAAAATAAACAAAAAATAGAGGCAGGAAAGTAGAGCTGAATGACTAGCACTAGGGGAATGTATTTATTTACTCTATTACCCAAGAGGGAGCCACACTTGAGATATATTTCTGGACTGTAACTTTCATCTACTTTCTCATGAGAGAATTCAATCTTTATCCTATTTGCAAGGTGGAAAAAAAGTCACTCGACACTTAGCTGGTGTTTTGCTTCCCCCTCCACCTTGGAATCTTCCTGGCTTCCAGGTCTCACGCAGTATGAAAACTATGAGACAGGTGTCCCATCCTGGGATTGATTTAGTCCACAAAAGGGCAGGCTTTCCAAAAAGAGCCTGATTTTATTCTAGAGGTTACTTTCCCTTCAGTCGTTGTATAAGGAATAAAGAACACACTGTAATTATGATTTCCTTCTTACTTTTGCCAACTGATTCCACATCCAGAGAAAAATAAGTATGTAGGTTCAAGAGAACACCTGAAAGCATGTGATTTTTTTACAAGATTTTTCAAACTTTACCACTTAATCCATCACTTTAAATATTTTGAGATATATGAACAAGAAGTTAGACAAGATTCATTTTTGGTTCAAAGTTGTCATAAATTGTGACATCAATTAGAATATTATTTTCCCCAAAAATAGCTCCTTCATATGCACAAAGTGAATGAACCCAAATTTTCAAACTCACTTGAAATTACTACTATATAGAAAAGAAAAGTGATACAAAAAGGAACAAAAGAAAACTACAGAAAAGCCAGAAGTAGGAAATAGAATAGTCTAATGTTTTCAACCTTACAGAGAGAATCTGATTTTATCTACTTTTATACATATCATTAGAAAGAAGTGAAATGGCAATTAATCAAAAAACTATATACCACAGTATAATAGTTACCGAGTCTCCCCACCCAGATTGTTGGTTAACGAGTACACCTTTACCCTTCACAAAATACAGGTGCCTAGAAAAATACCCTGTAAGGATTTCAGCTTTCTTCACAGAAGAGAAATAACTATTCAAATATTCAAAACTTTATTTTTAAAAGTAGCCTTCCCTACAAATTTAAAAGTCTGGGGAAGCTCCTTTTTACCCCATCCAAAGAGTTCATAAGCATGTAAAATAGAGCAAATTCATTTTTAAAACAACATTATTAAAACAGCAAAAGATAGCATCCATCAGCATTAGTGCAGCTTCTGAAAGGTAGTGCAAAATCCTCAGGTAATCAGAGGACCAAGGTTACAAAGGTTGCCTTAACCACCAGAATTCAAAGCTTAATTCCTTTGCTTAGTTCAGGGAATAAAAATTATATAGTCCAACAAAAGAAAAAGCTGCTCCTGTAAGGAAGAAAAACAAACAGGTAGTAGTACTGATTAGAAGCTTTTACATAAAAACCTTAGATATTTCACTGTGGCTCAACTAGGGAGGAATACAGGGATTGAGAAAGAGGGCATTGATTTTAAACTGCATAATTTACTACAATATTATAATAAACCCAATTTTAAACTGCAGAATTGACTACAATATTGTAATGATCCAAGTATAGTCAATGCAATACTTATGTATAGCTATTATTAACAAATATTTATAAAATTTAAATAATAGCATCTCAAATTTCAATTTAAGATGGTTAATAGATCCCTGAAATAATAGTGTATAGATCTGTATCTTCTAGGATGCTAAAGTTCAAGAACTATAGACTATATGAATAGGTCTTAGGACTCAACTTTCCATTCAAGAAGGGTCTTCTCTTGTAGGCATTTTGTCCCTGCAGATCAAAACACAAGAGTTAACATGCATATCAATTACTGTCTTCATGGTAATTCCTGGAAATTTCCAGTCCCATTCTATATTCATGTTGTAGTCAAATTTTCATTCTTTGGTTGATTGGGATTCATAACATGAATAGCTATTGTTTCTTGCAAATTGGCCACATTTTATTCAAAATAGTAAATGAGAAACACTATGACAGAATATATCCCTAATCACCACAAATGCATGGTAACAATGATCCTAAACTGGAATTATATGGCACATGTTGTAGAATGTATGGTGTATGTCACCTTGAACCCTTACCTTTTTTCCATTAATATACTGGAAAACATTTAGAGTACTAAGTCAAAGTACGTACCTAAGTAACATTCCTCGATACCCCAATTTCCTGCTTGATAATACTGAGTTTGGACTATTTTCTTAGATTTATCAGTATTATTCTGTATTACATTTTGTTCAAATGAGGAAGGCTTTCTGAAAAACAGGGAGAAAAACATATGCAGGGATTTGAGGCTGGTATATACATTACTGTTATTTTTGTAATGGCAGGGAATATGAGAATAGAAATAAACTAGACATCTCTCTTTGGGTTTTAAAAGATAGAACACCAAATCAAGTCATTTTATGTTGAAACGGAAATTTGCTATTTTGCAGAAGGATAAGCAAAAGTTTCTAACGGAATGTCAGTTAGAACTTTCCATTACCCCAGAATTAGTGATTGTGACCCAGAGCTAAAATCAAAGTAGTAGCAAATGCCAGAAACTTTTAGATTTGCTGAACCAGATCTGGTATCTTTAAACATGTCACCCTATAGTCTACAGAATATCATGAAATTCTGTTTTGCATTCCTGGCCTGGTGGGTGAGGAGTCTACTGAAATACTCCTCTTCTTTGTGAAGCCAAAGTAAGGTGCCTTAAATGAAGAGTTAGACACCAAGGATACCTACACTGGAGACTGGCATCTCACTTCCAAGTAGCTATCTGCTTATGTAGTAGGCTGCTGTATCTTCCACATATACATCTTTAGTACGGAGAAAAAAAATTTGAGAAGTCCAAGAAGCAAAAAGAGTAGAGTGGAAGAGCCATACAACCCCAACATTTGGCAGGTGATTTCCTACCAATACCCGGATTGAGTTATTTCTGAAGTATAGCAACTAGCAATGCTTTATATGTGCAGGTTACTAATTATCTGTGTAGGGGTCCCCAAGAAATAAGAGGCTCAATGATCAACAACCAAGTTAAGAGACTGAGGAAGGGTATCAAAAGTAACATCTGGGTGGAGCCAGTAAAGCCTTATATAGATTGCCTCATCAAAACTACACATTGGCATCTCTAGGCCTTTAGTGAGCCCTAAAGACCCAAGCAAATCTGAGCAACATTTAGAGTGTACAGTAAAAACTTACTTGATCAAAGCTACTGGAAATGGATGACAACTGTGCCAGGTTGACACTCATCCTTCCTCTCTTTTTATCCTTTTTCTCTACCTTATAGAAATGGATGCAACTGTGCCAGGTTGACACTCATCCTTCCTCTCTTTTTATCCTTTTTCTCTACCTTAACACACCAAGGCAGTAAAGAAAGCAGAAGATAAAGTATTTATAGAGTAGGTTGAGCCTTCTTTTTGTCCAATCATTTGTACCCAGGGCAGGCAGTAGTAAAGGAGGGGAACATTAAATTTGATATGAAATTGAGGTTTTCATTGAGCTTAATTTATCATAGGAGAAAAAGGCAAAAGATGTTGTAATGGTATGGGAAGGGAAGACTTTACAGAACAGAGCTGATCTGAGTTATTGAAAAAGAAATATAATCATTTACTTATGCTTTTATATAGCTCCGATTATTCAAAAGTAGACTATATTTAAAATTCCAACAGATACGTAATTGGGCCACATAAATAACTGAGCCAAGAATGGGCCAAGTTACCTGACCTCTGCATCTATAGGCTCTTCTACATTATTCTCTCATTGCAGAAGTGTTCTTAAAAACGAGGAGAAAATGGTGGTCATTAGCAAGTCTTCATTGTTATAACTCTGGGTAAATCAGAAACTGACTCTGTTTTAGTTTGAACATTTTGGAAGAAAAAATCACTTTGAATCTCTTGGGCCATTCTTATCCCTGGGACCAACAACTGCAGAGTGGTGGTATGTTCACAGAAGAAATCAATAGTTCCTATGATAGCCTTGGGACTGGGCAGGTTGGAAGTGGTAGGTACAAACAAAGAATGCCCGGGAAAAGGAAAGTTCACTAACAAAATCTTGTTAGAGAAGAAAGAAAAATCAGGCCAAATTCAGCTGATGCCCATCCACAGAGAGAATGTTTAAACTATCCCTAGCCAGAAGGGAATCACCAATCCCAGCAGTCGGAACTTGAGTTCCCGCGAACCTCACCACAGAGGGCTAAAGTGTTCTGAGTCTCTAAGTAAACTTGAAAGGCAGTCTAGGCCATAAGGACTGAAACTCTTAGATGAGTCCTAGTGCTGAACTGGTCCCAGAGACAGTGAACTGGGGGAACACATGACCTACTAAGATACAAGCCATGCAGCTAAGGAAGTGCTGGCATTACCCAACCCCTAAACCCAGGTTGCATAGCTTGTGGCTCCAAAAGAGAGCTCTTTCTTCTGCTTGAGGAGAGGAGAAAGGAGAGTGGGGAGGACTTTGTCTTCATCTTGAATACCAGTTCAACCACAGCAGGAGAGGGCATTGGTCAGAGTTGTTAGTCCCCCAATTCCAGGTCCTAGCTTCCAGACATTTCTAGACACACCCTTGGCCAGAAGGGAACCCACTGCTTTGAAGGGAAGGATGCAGTCCTGGCAACATTTATCACCTGCTAACTGAGAAGCCCTTGGGCCCTGAATTATCAGCAGTGATAAGCAGGTACTACATCAAGGGCCTGGGGGGAGCCTCTGAGACTTGCTGACTTCAGGTGGGACTTACCACATTACGGATAAAGCTGTGGTGGCTATGGGGCAAAACTCCTGCTTGAGAAAAAAAAGTCCAGGACCAGAGAGATTCACAGCTGAATTCTATCAGGCTTTCAAAGAAAAATTGGTACCAATTCTATTGACAATATTCCACAAGATAGAGAAAGAGGGAATCCTCCTTAACTCATTCTATGAAGCCAGTATCACCTTAATATCAAAACCAGGAAAGGATATAACAAAAAAAGAAAACTACAGGCCAATATCCCTGAGGAATATAGATGCAAAAATCCTCAACAAAATACTAGCAAACTGAATCCAACAGCATATCAAAAAGGTAATTCACCATGATCAAGTGGGTTTTATACCAGGGATTCAGAGATTGTTTAACATATGCAAGTCAATAAATATAGTACACCACACAAACAGAATTAGAAGCAAAAGTCACATGATCATCTAATCAGTGTAGAAGAAGGATTTGACAAAATCCAGCATCCTTTTATAATTAAAACCCTCAGCAAAATCAGTATAGAAGGAACACACCTTAAGGTAATAAAAGCCATTTATGACAAACTCACAGCCCACATTATACTGAACAGGGAAAAGTTGCAAAGCATTCCCCCTGAGAACTAGAACACTACAAGGATGACCTCTTTCACCACTTCTATTCAACATAGTACAGGAAGTCCTAGCCACAGCAATCAGACAAGAGAAAGAAATAAATGGCATCCAGATCGGTAAAGAGGAAGTCAAACTGTGACTGTTTGCTGATGATATAATCGTATAACCTAGAAAACCCTAAACGGCCATCCAAAAAACTTCTAGAACTGGTAAACGAGTTTAGCAAAGTTTCAGGATACAAAATTAATGTACACAAATCAGTAGCTCTGCTATACACTAACAGCGACCAAACTGAGAAATCAGGAACTCAACCCCTTTCACAATAGATTCAAAAAAAATAAAATACTTAGGAACATACCTAGCCAAGGACATGAAAGACCTCTACAAGGAAAACTACAAAACACTGCTGAAATAAATCATAGATAACACAAACAAGTGCTTCCAGTGGGATGGAAAACACATCCCATCCTCATGGATGGGCAGAATCAATATTGTGAAAATGACCATAGTGCCAAAAACAATCTTCAAATTCAATGCAATTCCCATAAAAACACTAGCATCCTTCTTCACAAAACAAGAAAAAACAATCCTAAAATTCATATGGAAACAAAAAGGCTTGCATAGCCAAAGCAAGACTAAGTGAAAAGAACAAATCTGGAAGCATCACATTATCCAACTTCACACTATACTATAAGGCCATAGTCACCAAAACAGTATGGTCCTGGTATAAAAATAGGCACATAAGCCAATGGAACAGAATAAAGAACCCAGAAATAAAGCCAAAAACTTATCACCAACTGATCTTCAACAAAACAAACAAAAATATAAAGTGGGGAAAAGACACCCTATTCAATAAATGGTGCTGGTATACTTAGCAAGCCACAGGTAGAAGAAATGAAACTGGATCCTCTTCTCTCACCTTATACAAAAATCAACTCAAGATAGATCAAAGCCTTAAATTTAAGACCTAAAAACTATAAATATTCTAGAAGATAACATCAGAAAAAACCTTCTAGACATTGGCTCAGGCAAAGACTTCAAGACCAAGAGCCCAAAAGCAAAAACAACAAAAACAAAGGTAAATAGATAGGACTTAATTAAACTAAAAAGCTTCTGCAGAGCAAAAGAAATAATCAGCAGAGTAAACAGACAACCCGGAGTGGGAGAAAATCTTCACAAACTATATATCTGACAAAGGACCAATATCCAGAATCTATAAGGAACTCAAACAAATCAGCAAGAAAAAAAACAATCCCATCAAAAAGTGGGCTAAGGACATGAATAGACAATTCTCAAAAGAAGATATGCAAATGACTGACAAGCATATGGAAAGTGCTCAACATCACAATGATGAGAGAAATGCAGATCGAAACCACAATGCGATACCACCTCACTTCTGTAAGAATGGCCATAATCAAAAAAATCAAAAAAAATAGATGTTGGCATGGATGGTGTAAAAAGGGAACATGTTTACACTGTTGGTGGGAATGTAAACTAGTACAACTGCTATGAAAAATAGTGTGAAGATTCCTTAAAGAAGTAAAAGTAGATCTACTGCTTGATTCAGCAATCCCACTACTAGGTATCTACCCAGAGAAAAAGTCATAATACAAAAAAGATACTCGCACATTCATGTTTATAGCAGCATGATTTGCAATTGCAAAAATATGGAACCAACCCAAAATGCCCATCAATCAACGAGGAGATAAAGAAAATGTGGTATATACATGCCATGGAATACTACTCAGCCATAAAAAGGAATTAAATAATGGCATTCACAGCAACCAGAATGGAATCAAAGACTATTATTCTAAGTAAAGTAAATCATGAATGAAAAACCAAACATCATATGTTCTCATTCATATGTGGGAGCTAAGCTATGAGGATGCAAAGGCATAAGAATGATACATTGGACTTTGAGGACTCGGGGGAAGGGTGGGGGGTGGTGAGGAATAAAACACTACACATTGGGTACAGTGTACACTGCTCGGGTGATGGATGCACCAAAGTCTCAGAAATCATCACTGAAGAATTTATTCATGTAACCAAACACCACCTGTTCTCCCAAAACCTATTGAAATTAAAAAATTAAAAATTAAAAAAATTTTAAATCAGTAGCATTTCTATATGTCAGCAATAAACAATGTGAAAAATAAATTAAAAAGTAATCCCATTTACAATAGCCATACACAAAATTAAATATGTAGGAATTAACCAAAGAAGTGAAAGATCTCTATAATGAAAATTATAAAACACTAGAGAAAGAAATTAAAGAGGACACCCCCCAAAAATGGAAAAATATTCCATTTTCATGGATTGGAAGAATCAATGCTGTTAACATATCAATAGTACCTAAAGCAATCTACAGATTCATTGCAATCCGTACCAAATTCCAATTACATTCTTCACAGAAATAGGAAAAACAATCCTAACATTTATATAGAACCACAAAAGACCCAGAATAGCCAAAGCTATCCTAAGCAAAAAAGAACAAAAGTGGAGGAATCACATTACCTAACTTCAAATTATACTACAGAGCTATAGTAACCAAAACAGCATGGTAGTGACATAAAAACAGACACAAAAATCAATGGAACAGAATAGAGCACCCAGAAACAAATCCACACACCTATAGTGAACTCATTTTCAACAATTGTGCCAATAATGTACACTGGGGAAAAGACAGTCTCTTTCATAAATAGTGCTGGGAAACTGGATATCCATATGCAGAAGAATTAAACTAGATCCCTATCTCTTGCCATATACAAAAAATCAAATCAAAATGGATTAAAAATTTAAATCTAAAACATCAAACTATGAAACTAAAAGAAAACATTGGGGAAAATCTCCAGGGCATTGGTCTGGGCAGAAATTTCTTGAGCAATGCCCTATAAGCATAGGCAACCAAAGCAAAATTGTACAAATGTGATCACATCAAGTTACAAAGCTTCTGCACAGCAAAGGATCCAATCAACAAAGGAAAGAGACAACCCGAAGACTGAGAGAAAGTATTTACAAACTACCCATCTGATGAGGGGTTAATCACCAGAATGTATAAAGAACTCAAACAACTTTATAGGCAAAAAAATCTAATAATCTGATAAAAGAAAAAGTGGGTAAAAGGTTTGAATAAACATTTCTCAAAAGATGACATACAAATGGCAGACAGGCATATGGAAATAGATCAGAGAAATGTAAATAAAAAATACAATGAGATATCATCTCGCCCGAGTTAAAATAGCTTGTACTTGCCAAAGACAAGCAATAACAAATGCTGGTGAGAATGTGGAGAAAAGAGAACCCTCATACCCTGTTGGTGAGAATATAAGTTAGTACAACCACTATGGGGGACAGTTTGGAAGTTCCCTAAAGAACTAAAAATAGAGCTACCATGTGATCCAGCAATCCCACTGCTCAGTATATACTCAAAAGAAATCAGTATGTTGAAGAGATATACACTCCCATGTTTGTTGCAGCATTGTTCACAATAGTTAAGATTTGGAAGCAACTTAAGTGTCCACTTTATCCAGATGGATGGATAAAGGCAATGTGGTACATATACACAATGGAGTACTATTCAGCCATAAAAAAAGAATAAGATCCTACCATGTGCAACAACATGGATGGAACTGGAGGTCATTAAGTGAAATGAGCCAGGCAGAGAAAGACAAACATTGCATGTTCTCACTTATTTGTAGGATCTAAAAATCAAAACAATTGAACCGATGGACATAGAGAGTAGAAGAATGGCTATCAAAGACCAGAAAATGTAGTGGTAGGTTGAGAGAGGGAGGAGGGGTGGTTGGTTAATGCATACCAAAAAAATAGAAAAAAAATGAATAAGATCTACAATTTGATAGCACAACACAGTGACTGTAGTCAATAATAACTTAATTGTGGATTTAAAAATAACCAAAGGAGACTAATTAGATTGTGACACAAAGGATAAATGCTTGAGGGGATGGATACCCCCATTCTCCATGTGATTATTATGCAATGCATGACTGTATCAAAACATCTCATGTACCACATAAATATATACACCTACTATGTACCCACAAGAATTAAACATTTAAAATTTTTTTAAAAACCACAATAGTGTCAGCTACCAGAGAAACAAATAGGTTCATTTTATTAATAAAATACATTGAGACAGTCAGCTTTATATATAAACATTCATATATTATATGACATATCTACTCATATAAAAGAACAGAACACTGTCCATCAGTCAGACAGGTCTAAGGGCTGGACCTCAGCATATTTTCTAACATCTTTAGTCTCATCGGAAACACCTGGCAACCAAGCAAATGTTAGAGAACCTTAATCTCTGTAGCCAGCTAGACTTACCTTTCAAGGGCGCATCTTACTGGGATGTAAGTTCTGAAATTCAAAAACGCTGGTTGATATTTGACGAAACTCTCAACAAGAATGCCCCATGGGCATTCCTCAAGAGAATAAAAAAAGTATGAACTTGTTTTACTTAAATCTAACAGTTCAAAAATAAGAGTTAAAGTTTTTAAAATAATAGAAATTTTTATTTTATATTAAGTCAAAGGACAACAGAGCTAAGTAATAAAATGTTTATGTTTAGAAAACACCCAAGTAATAGCTCCTGACATTATGTCCAGACATTTTGTTGTCTGTCAATGTGTAGACAACTCCTGATCACATTTGTTTAAGTGTAGGGGCCTGATTTTGGCAGACCTGTATTATAGGACAGGCTCTGCAACTTACTCTGAGTATGAATTTTCACTAAATGTTTCATTATTTCAGAGCAGGTTCTACCTTCCCCACTCATAAAATGGAGATAATATAGCTCAGGGGTTGTCAAACTGGCCAGAGAATATTTCAGTCTTTGCAGACTGTACTAGCTCTCTTGAAAATACAGACATACCTCATTTTATTGCATTTCACTCTATCATGCTTCACAGATAACACATTTTCTACAAACTAAAGACATGTAGCAATCCTGCATTGAGAAAGTTGAGTACCATTTTTCCAACAGCATGTGCTCACTTCATGCCTCCGTGTCATATTTTGATCATTTCACAGTATTTCTAGTTTTTCATTATTGTATCTGTTGTGGTTTGTGATCAGTGATCTTTAATGTTACTATTGTAGTTGTTTTGGAGCACCAGGAACCATGTTCATAAAGACAGCACACTTAATAAATGTTGTATATATTCCTACTGTTCCACTGACCAGCCATTCTTGTCTCTCTTCCTCTTCTCAGGCCTCTCTATTCTCTGAGACAAAAATGTTAAGATGTTAATAATCCTACAATGGCCTCTAAACGTTCACAGGAAAGGAAGAGTTACATATCTCTTACTTTGAATCAAAAGCCAAAAATGGTTAAGCTTAGTGAGGAAGGCATGTCAAAAGCCAAGAAAAGACAAAAGCTAGGCCTCTTGTGCCCGACGGTCAAGTTTTGGATGAAAGGAAAAGTTATTGAAGGAAATTAAAAGTGCTACTCCAGTGAACACCCAAATGACAAGAAAGCAAAACAGCCTTATTTCTGATATAGAGAAAGTTTTAGTGGTCTGGATCAAACCAGCCATAACATCCCTCATGCCAGAGCCTAATTCAGAGCAAGGCTCTAACTCTTCTCAACTCTATAAAGACCGAGAGGTGAGAAAGCTGCAGAAGTGAAGCTTGAAGCTAGCAGAGGTTGGTTCATGAGCTTTAAGGAAGAAGTCATCTCCATAAAAGCACAAGGTGAAGTTGCAAGTGCTAATTGAGAAGCTGCAGCAAGTTATCCAGAAAATGTAGCTAAGATTACTGATGAAGGTGGCTACACTAAATAGATTTTCAACGCAGATGAAAAACCCTTATATTGGAAGAAGATGTCATTTGGACTTCCACAGCTATTGAGAAGTCAATGCCTGCCTTCAAAGCTGCAAAGGACAGGCTGACTGTTAGGGGCTAATGCAGCTGGTAATTTTAAGTTGAAACCAAAGCACATTTACCCTTCCCAAAACTCCTATGGCCCTTAAGAATTATGCCAAATCTATTCTGCTTATTCCCTATAAATAAAACCACAAACCCTAGATAACAGCACATCTGTTTACAGCATGGTTTACAGAACATTTTAAGCCCACTGTTGAGAGCTACTATTCAGAAAACAAGATTTCTTTCAAAATGTTACTATTCATTGACAACACATCTAGTCAATCAAGAGCTCTGATAAAGATGTACAAGGAGATTAATGTTGTTTTCATGCCTACTAACACCACATCCATTCTGCAGTCCATGGATCAAGGAGTAATTTTAGCTTTCAAGTCTTTTCAGAAATACATTTTGTAAGGCTATAGCTGCCATAGATAGTGTTTCCTCTGATGGATCTGGGCACAGTAAATTTAAAAATTTCTGTAAATGATTTACCATTCTAGAGGCCATTAAGAACATTTATAATTTATCAGAGAAGGTCAAAATGTCAACATTAGCAGAAGTTTGGGATAAGTTAATTCCAACCCTTGTGGATGACTTTAAGGGCTTCAAGACTTCCACTACTTTCTTCAGTGGAGAAAGTAACTGCAGGTATGGTAGAAATACCAAGAGAACTCAAGTTAAAAATAAAGCCTGAAGATGTGACTGAATTGCTACAACCTCATGATAAAAATGTAATAGATGAGAAGTTGCTTCTTATGGATGAGGAAAAAAAAGTGTTTTCTTTAGAGGAAATCCACTCCTAATGAAGATGTCATAAACACTGTTGAAATGACAAAGGATTTAGAATATTCCATAAACTTAGTTGATCAAGCAGTGGCAGGATGTGAAAGGATTGACTCCAATTTTGAAAGCTCTACTTTGGGTAAAATACTGTCAAACAGCATCACATGGTACAGAGAAATCTTTCATGAAAGGAAGAGTCAATCAATACAGTACATTTCATTATTGTCTAATTCAAGAAATTTCCACAGCCACCCCAACCTTCAGCAACCACCACTCTAATCAATCAGCAGCCATCATTACTGAGACAAGAACTTCCACCTGCAAACATTATGACTGCTGAAGGTTCAGATGATCTTTTGTATTTTTAGCAACAAAGTACAGCATTTTTAAATTAAAATTAATATCTTTTTAGACATAATGCTATTACACACTTAATAATCTGCAGCGTAGTCAATACATATGTGCACCGTAAAATTGTAAGAAATTTGTGTAACTCACTTTATTTTGGTGGTCTGGAACCAAAATCAGAATATATCTGAGGTATGCCTGTACTCAATTCTGCCAATGTAGCATATGAACTGTCAATATCTAAATGAATGTACCCATGCTCCAATAAAACTTATAAACATAGATGCCTAGCTGAATTTAATCCACTGGCCATAACTGCCAATCCCAGATATGAGCTATTATTTGTGAATGAGAAATCACAGTACCTACAACATAAATAACAAATAGAAGTATCTCTAAAGAAAAACAATAGAAGTATATATAAGCATACCTCCATAGTAGTAGATAACATGGAAAGTACAAGCAAATATATGTGCATCTCATATACTATAATTTAAATATTCATGTTATAGAATTGGAAAATGCCAGTGTCAAACGGAGATAATTCAACTCTTTCATGCAGTCATAGTCAATATTTGGATATGTTTCAACTTTAAATACACATTGTATATGTTAAAAACATGGTATTCAAGGATGTTTGCTAGTACTTCAGATTGCTAAAGTTCAAATATCACTTTTGGCATTTCCTGTTTATGTAACAATAAGGAATAACTAACCCCAAGATTTTCAATCTATAAAATGACTGTAGTGAGAGTGTGTAGGGTTGAGCATTATCCAGGACAGTATTTACCACACATAAGAGACATTCAAAGTAATCTAAATTTAGCACAAATTGATCAATGTTCCTGAGGAGTCCCAAGGTAATCTTGCTTTAGGAATAGCTGGATAATAGAATTCCAACCACGTTGTCAAATACCTGTCTCTCTGCCCTACCTCCACTGCCCTCCACAAACTCCTATCTTTTTCATCCCATGTTAGCCTCTTTTTCAGGCAAGGTCTCTCCTCAGGGGTGACAAATAGAAATCTCAGCACTTACTTGCTTCAAGATTATCTATTTATAATCCCAGTGAAAAAGAGTAAACTACGTCCCTAGAAATCTCTGAAAAGTTCTTAGTGTAATTCCACTTGACCTGCAACAATTATCTAACCCGACAATTGGCATGACTTTTTCATTTATTTCACAAATATTAACTGAGTGCCTATATTTTATCTAAATAGCAGTTGTATAGTGCTCACATGCTGGGCATTGTTCTAGGTATTGGGGATGCATCAGTAAGAAAGGGTGTGGTCATGTACCTGGAGACAGAGGCAGAATTGGTACAGATAAATCAGATATATTGAAAGTGGGGCAGATGCGAGTCCAAAAAGGAAAACCAAGCTGCCATTCCAAATACAGCAGGAAGATAAAGCAAAATCAAGAGATGTGAGGCATCAGACTTGAATGGGTTAAGGGTACGAATGTCCAGTTCAAGTCCCAGCTACTCTACTTTCTGTGTGACACTTGGCAAATTACTTGCTCACTCTATTCCTAATGTCTGCTTTAAAAATGGAGATAATACTATTTAGCCAAGGGTGTTACTGTGAGAGTTAGGTAAGTAAATTACCTGGTACATAACACATACTATTTGTTTGTTAAATAAGTAAAATATGCACTGGCTGCAATGATGATCAAAGAACTGAAGCTTCTAACATGCTCCTTAGCAGTAATTGACACATGATTACTTAAGTGTTATTTCTCTCATTTTCTATTGGCTCTCTCTCTAATGATCCATTTTATTCAGGATAGTTAATAGAATTTCAAGTGTTTTGGTTTCAGAAAAGAGAACTGGGTTGGTTGTCTTAGTTACACAGCAGTTACCTAACCAGGTAGCTCCTATTTTAGTCGGATATTTTCATCAACACCAACAACTAGGTGAAGGATTGTAGTGTTATTTTAAATAAGATGTTTCCTTTAAGTTTGATTTTATCCCAGTTAATATAAAATCTCTCCATCAAAGCAGGGGAGATGTGTAGCAAAAAGCTGGTAAAAGAAACACATGTTTTCTTTAAATCCCACATTTTGTCTCACATTTCTTCTACTATAAAATTGTCCAAAAAGTTAGAGAGTAGTCAATATTACATTATATAAGATCAACTATCAATTAAAAAACACAGTGTTAATAAGTGAATGTGAATCCTAGAGAAGACTGCCATTTGTAAAAATACCAGCCACTCTTACATATTTCATGATGCCAGAAAACTCAAGAGCATAAGTGAACTCAAAGATATCATTCGTCATCCTGGTTACAGGACACCCATTTCCTAGAGACAGCTCATTATGCTTAGGTTGCAGGTTTTCCACAAGAGGTGCTCCTCTAATTTCAACCAGAAGCCAAGATTCAGTACACTCTACAAACACTGATGGAAGAAAGAGAAGAGAAAATGTCAGATAGCATGTCTGTCTCTAACCAATAGTTCAGAAAACATTAAACCTCTTAGTCAATCTGAATGCCCAGCTCTAGAGTAGAAATGCCTTGGTTCTATTTTTATATTTTCTACTGAGATCTTGGATGATTTACTTAATCTTTTCATGGCTTAATTTCCTCATTAGAATGTGAGGAAGTCATAGGAGCTCCTTCCTGGGACTCACTGAGTGTTAAATTACAAAGGCTCCAATATAGGACCTAGGGTATATTAAATTATTGATATTACTAATGAGAAAGTTTGCCCCTTATCTGATAACAGAAGGCTTTTTATATGCTAAACTTGTTCTCCAACATGTATACATTGTCCAAAGTGAAGCTAATGAATACCCACCTTTCTTGTCAGAAATGATCTGTTAGAGCATTTATAACATGAAACAGGACGCTTACGTTGCCTACTTCAAAACAATTATATAGTCTCTTTACATTTTCAAACAGTATTTCATTGTTTAATATGATCTTATGTATGCATATTCACAGTTCTGCAATTTGCCAAGGTTATATTGATTTGATGATTAGTATGACTTATAATACTTCTAGTAAAGAAAGTTTTATCCACACTCACATTTTATATCAGGTTAATTCTGTTTCCTAATCTGTAAGATGATATAGTATTATTAAGGCTATATGACAGTTTAAAAATAAACTAGACATGAGGCTTAGCTATCATTTCTTATTCTAGTAAGAGACTTGTCCTGTTTCATAATGGAAGCAATCACAGGTATATTACTACAGCCACATGAGAATATCCCTATTTATGGGTATAGAACAGTTATAAAGTTTAGACATAGGCGTGATCACAAAAAATGCCTTAATCAACTATTACTAAGTTGTATAGGCCAATTTGGCCATTGTCCAATAATGTTAAAAATAAAGTAACATAATACTTTGGATCAAAGAAAAATTTACTAAAAAATATTTTAAATCCTATGGAACTTGTTAATCAGAAGAATATACCTGTGATTGCTTCCTTTATCAACCCCAGGGCAATCAGGCAGGAGAAGGAAATAAAGGGCATTCAATTATGAAAAGAGGAAGTCAAATTGTCCCTGTCTGCAGATGACATGATCGTATATCTAGAAAACCCCATCGTCTCAGCCCAAAATCTCCTTAAGCTGATACGCAACTTCAGCAGTGTCTCAGGATACAAAATCAAGGTGCAAAAATCACAAGCATTCTTATACACCAATAACAGGCAAACACAGAGCCAAATCGTGAGTGAACTCCCATTCACAATTGCTTCAAAGAGAATAAAATACCTAGGAATCCAACTTACAAGGGATGTGAAGGACCTCTTCAAGGAGAACTACAAACCACTGCTCAATGAAATAAAAGAGGATACAAATGGAAGAACACTCCATGCTCATGGGTAGGAAGAACCCAGAGGGAATCAAGGAAACTTTTCTCACTGCTTCCATCCCCATTCTATAACACTTTTAAAATTCCTTTACATTTTACTTTGTTCTCTTCCCACCCAATGTGACCTTTGAAATGTACTTGCTTACTTGTATCTCCTACCACCTAGGTTTCACTAAGATAACTTTGTACTAATTTGAATTTCTTGAAACAAAGAGGCCACACTGTGAATCAGTGGTTCTCAAAGTTTAATCCTTGTACCAATAGAGTTGACATCCTAAGGAACTTCTTAGAAATACAAATTCCTAAGCTCTACTCAGACCTGTGTCAGACACCAGGTTGGGCCCCAGCAATCTGTCCTAACAAGCTTTCCAGGTGAGACATGCAACAGTTTGACAACCACCATTTTAAACAATTTTTTAAATCTCATGTTTTGTCATAAGCATTGTATTTGAATATATGATGAGTGATATATTTTGAATATGTTTTTGAATATGTGCCATCATTGTATCATATATTCAAATACAACTATATTTAGCCTGAAATAGTCTAGTTATCTAGACACTGTTCTCTCTTCTTTCCTCTTTATTTACCCCTGTCTTGAGTCTCTGCTGACTCACGCTGTCAAGTATTTTTCTGTTTCTTGCACTACAGATAGAAGAGGCAACAGGTTTAGTTAACAGGGATGAAGGAGCGTTCTAACGACGGCATTCAGATGAAAGACAGTATAGTACTGACACCACAAAAGGTATTATTATTGCTCCTTCTCAGTTATCCCAAGATTGTCCAAAATTCTCCAAGTGCTTGATTTTCCATCCCAACCCCCATCCATTATGTGAAGTGATAATGGAAAAATTAGAGGACATTAAAATATGGATATATCAAGCAAGCTCTATTGCCCATTGAGCTTCTATTCTAATGGTTGGGTAAGAGAAACTAAAGAACTATTTTAGATAGTAACAATTTTGAGGAAAAATAAGACATGAAAGGGACACAAAATGAGGAGAGAGTTGAAATTTTAAATACAATGATCTGAGAAGGTCTCAATAAGGACACATTTGAACAAAGTCCTCCAGAAGATGAGTAGAAGAGCTATGCAAATAACTAAGGGAAGAACATCCCAGGCAATGAGAAGAGAAAATACAAATGACAGGCACGAGAGTTTGCCTGGAGAACCTGGGCAGTGAAGAGTCCAATATTGCGGAAAAAGAGACAGCAAGTGGGGAAGAAACAGGCCATGAGATCAGAGAACTATCAAGGAACAAATTACGTGTAGTCCTGGAGGCCATTCAACAGGCACTTGACCCTCGGGGGATAAAAAGCCGTTGGAAGATTTTGACCAGATGAATGATGCATTCCTGCTTACATTTTGTTGAGAGCTCTCTGTTTGCTATGTGGAAAACATAATTTAAGGGGATGGGGTGACACATAAAACAAGTTACAAGGACAGTGCAATAATTCAAGCCAAAGATACTTAACGGTTTGGACAGCATAATAACATTAGAGTTTATCAGAAATGGTCCAGTTCTTCAAATATTTTGAAGGTAGAATCAATGGTTTGCTGATGTATACAGTAAGAGAAAAAGGTAGCCAGGATAGCATCACAGTTTTCAGCTTTAGCAACCTGTAAGGTGCAGTTGTAAATACAAATTGAAGACAAGAGGCTTAATTCTTCCCATTAAAATTAAGGAAAGCTTTCCCTCCTCTCCTTTTGCTTAGAGCATTTACCTCAGAAAACTTGTAAGTACTTTCTCCTCTTTTTTAAAAAAAAAATGTATATACAGCCATTTGAAGAATTAATTGACCTTTTGTCAGCTTTAAGACCTGAGACTGTCTTTCTCAATGACCTGGGGGCCATCTCTTTGGAATGTAAACATCAAGGAAGAAGGTGTTCCTATCTCAGTTTCTAGGAGAGAATGACAGCCTAACTCCTGTAGATGCCTCGTTCTAATTTGCAGAACTATGTCCTATCATAAAGATATGAAGTTTTTTTTGTAGATAAAGCCAATTACCTAAAAGAAGTTATGTCCATTACCAGGTAAAAGATAGGACAAGTTACATGTGACAAATGGTACCATCAAGTCAAGTCCTCTTTCCTAAGGACTAATTTTTTAACTTGAGAACACATATAGGGAATTCTATCTGCATAGCTATATGAAAGAGTGAGATTTTCTTTCTTTGCAATCTCTTAGCAGATTGACTGTGATGTCTATCACATTCTTATTCAATAATAGAACAGTTTTATTTCTCTTCTACCACTGTGGAGTGTTTTCCTTGGCTGGGAGAAGATTTTGTTTTTAGTTATTTTTTCCCAACATAGTCACCATAGGCTGATATGAGGGATAATGTGGGAGAAACAAAAGTGGCAGTTAATAGCAGAAGTTCAGTTTGGAAAGGTTAAGTCTGAAATGCCATTAGATATTCAAACAGATAGTGGGAAATATGCATCTGAAGTTAAAAAAGAATACTCAGACTGGGGATTAAACGTGAGATAATTATGAATGTAAAAAGGATATGTGATATCATGGCACTGGATAGGATAAAACAACAACAACAACAAAAATAGAATAAGAAAGAGTTTCTGAGATTGATTCTTGTATGACCAAGATCAAGCAATGAAGGAGACACTAGAAAACGAAAGAAAAGAAATGTCAGCAAGGCAGGACAAAAGAGAAGAGAACAGTATGACCTACAAGCCAAGTAAAGCAAGTTTTTAGGAGACGAATAATCCATCCCATGGGCTACGACAAAAATCAAGTAAGTGAGGGCTGACAACAGAGCAACTGTCAAATGTTTTAATGTAGAAATCACCAATGTTTCAGGCAAACTTTTGATGGAGTGTTTTTGGTGAATGACTCATTAAAGTTAAATTTTTTTAAAAAAAGAGAGAGAAATAGGAGAGAGTGAATACAGTAACTTTAAAGAGAAGAAAACTGAGGCAGTAACTGGAAGAGGAAGTGGGATCAATAAGGCCAGAGATGTATAGATCATGTCTATGCAATGACACAGAGTTCCAGGATGATATAGTTTCTTAGGAAGAGGAAATGTTAACCTTTCATTAGGACACAAGATGGCTGAAAGTCTGGGAGATTTAAATCATGTGCGTTGGTTACAATGAAGCTATAGGCCAAATTCCCCACAGGTCATTTAGAGTTTATTCAATTTTTACGTAGGAAAGGGCCCCAGGAATACATCTTTGAAATTTTTCCAAACCCGAAATGGAAGTTTCACTATCTATTATACTCACTTGGAACAATGTATCAGCTGCTTTGATATTAAAAAAAAAAAATTGACGCATGTCATTTGACCCAGTTAATATTAGTTTGATATGCCATTTGAAAGTGTGCTCTGAAAAGGAATCATTTACAAATGAAAGCAGCTGACCACTTTGTCCAAACTCTAAGCCACATGGCCAAAGGCATGAACACCTAAACAATCTTCACTCTAGACACTGAGCAGAATCTCCTGATTATCAATTCACTGTGAATATTTCAGACACTACAAAGTGACAAGCATGTCTAAGACAAAAGAAAATAACCCCAGAAAGTCTGCAGATTAAGAAAAAATATGATCCATCTAATTATGGATTCAAGGGGAAATTACAGTAGTACAGATGCATGAATAAACTGAGTGAAAACAGCCAGTAGATATTAGCAGATGATCATCAGATTATGAAACCCCAAAGTCAAAAGTATGTAGCAAAGCACCCCACTGCTTAATATGCCACCCTCCAGAATCTTCTGTTTTTTCTTACTATTTTCAAGAGCATGAGTCGAGGCAAAAAGTATGAGGAGCCCTCCTAAAACTCCAGAGATCTTCATTGCCACAGATCTTAAACCAAGGAATCACAGGAAGTAGGTCTCTGCAGGTGTTTATAAACCTCTTGCCTCTTCAGCTGTGGGTAATGTTCATCATTCTGGAGAGCACCGAGAAGCACTCAGCACCTCATTGGCTTTTCCTCCTTACAGCTGAAGTCATTATAATCATAATTCAGAAAACCTGTGGGAAAATGTGAACAAGGGGGATTCTAGGATGTACTCTCTACCCCAAGCACATGGTGAGGCTGAAATGGTGACTTATATAATATTTGATATGTGTCTGTTGGAATGTTAAGAGCAGGGCTTTGCAGGATGATTTGAGGAGCTTCAAGGGGATAATACAGAAGACTCGTTTATGATTTGATTGATAATATTGTTTACCAATCAAATTAACCACTCTAGGATCTTGTGATTCCCTGGCCTCACAGCCAATGGTTCTGACCCAGTGAGCCCGTTAATGTGTCCTTCCAACAAGCACCAGGAGGCCCTGATTCAGGAAAACAAATTCACAAACCTGTGGTTTCAGCTTTGAAAACCCCAATCTGCTTTAATTTTGCTTTCCCAAAGTATTTTGTCATGAATGTGTATGTCTCCAGGTTGCTGAAGAAAAGTTCATGAGATAATTTTTGTCCAGTAAAACCTAGGAAGGTAAAATCCTGGCAGAGTGAGGGATTATGGATAAGGATAATAATTTGACCTGGCTCAATATTTTGGCAGAAACTATTCATTATAAAAGCTCCATCTCAGAAGCAAGAGTTTAATGAATTAGCTGTAGAAATTACATAACATGTTACATAGATTGTCTCATTTTCTAAATGCAGGATACTTGCTGGTGAATATTATCAAAATTAACTATAGAAATCTTGGGCTGGGTGTGGTGGCTTACGCCTGTAATCCCAACACTTTGGGAGGCAGAAGCGGGCGGATCACCTGAGGTCGGGAGTTCGAGACCAGACTGGCCAACATGGTGAACCGCCCCCCCCGCCCAAATCTCTGCTAAAACTACAAACATTAGCCAGGTGTTGTGGTGCATGCCTATGATCCCAGCTATTCGGGAGGCTGAGGCAGGAAAATCGCTTGAACACAGGAGGCAGAGGTTGCAGTAAGCCGAGATCGTGCCACCGCACTCCAGCCTGGGCAAAGAGTGAGACTTCATCTCAAAAAATAAAATTAAAATAATAAAATAAAATAAAAATCTCCAACACTGTGTGTTGACATAGCAAAAAACAAGTAAAAAGAGATATCTACGACTGTCAGAAACCTCAAGTGACAGTTCTTTCCACTAAATATTTGTATTATACTCAAGTGCTACTTCCACAGTACAGAATGGAACCTAATCAAGGATTAATCTCTACCTGTATTAAGTACCTAGAGCACAGTTTCTTAAACTCATCACTATTGACATTTTAGGCTAACGTATATTTTATTTTTCTTTATGGTTAGTGCTTTTTGTGTTTTCTTTAATAAGTCCTTCTTACACCAAAATCATGAAGAAATTTTCCTCTATTCTCTTCTGAAAGTTTTTTTACAATTAAGCTCTTTATATTTACATTCTTAATACACTTGGAATTAATTTTTCTGAATAGGGCAAGGTAAATGACCATATGTATATTCAAATGAATGTCCAGATATTTCAGTCCCGTTTTTAAAAAGTCTCTCATTATCTACCTCTCTGCAGTCTGTTCATCATAAATCAAGAGTCTATATATGTGTATATTTATTTCTAGATTTTATATTTTACTCATGGGTTTTTTTGTATATTCTTATGCCAATAACACATTATCTTGATTATCAATTTGTACTTCATCTCTATATATGATACATGAAATCCTCCTTCATTTTCTCTGTTTGACAGTATTTGACTGTATTTGACCAATTGCTATCCCATGTAAATTTTAAAACCAGCTTGCCAAATTTCAATTTTTAAAAAGTTGTGATTTTTAGGAGATTAGAATCAATCTAAAATCCATGAGTCTAACAATCAATGAACATATTCTCTATTTATTTTGATCTTTGTTAATCTCTCAGGGTAAATTTTTATAATTTCCTATAGTTTTTGTATGTGTTTTCTTAGATTTACTTCTAAGTATCAGATATTCTCATCCTATTATCATTTTTTCTATTCACTTACTGTTGCTGGTTCAGCAAATTCCAGTTGCTTTTTGTAAATTGATTGTTAACTTTAATAACTTATCTGTAAATCTTCTGTATTTTCTATATATATAATTATTCACCTGTAATGAGTTTCTTAATTGATCGTTAACGAATAACTTATCTGTAAATTCTTTTGTATTTTCTATATACATAATGATTCACCTGTGAATGAGTTTCTTTCTATATTATCTTTTATTCCTTAGTGTTGCTGTATATACTGTATCTAGAACCACCAACAAAGACTTTAATAAAAATAGTAATCATGGGTACCTTTATTTTATTTCTTATCAGAGAGAAAGGTATCAGCATTTTACCCTGTAAAAGCATGATGTTTGATATAGGGTATTTTAAACTTTCCCAAATTAAAGATGTTTCTTTGTATTGTTTGCTCATTTTTATCATCGTCAGCTGATGTATTTTATCAACTATGTTTACTGCATCTACTGAGATTACTATATTATCCATTAATCTGGTATTTTGGTAAAATACTGTGATAAGGCCAAGCGCAGTAGCTAACCCTTGTAATCCCAGCATTTTGGCACACCAAGCCAGGAGAATCACTGGAACTCAGGAGTTCGAGACCAACCTGGGCAATATAGTGAAACCTTATCTCTACTAAAAATTCAAAAACATTAGCCGGGCATGGTGGTGTATGCCTGTAGTCCCAGCTACTTGGGGGGCTGAAGCAGGAAGATTGCTTGAGCCTAGAAAGTTGAGGCTACGGTGAGCCTGATCATCTCACTGCACTCCAGCCTGGGTGACAGAGTGAGGCTCTGTCTCAAAGAAAAAAAGGATACTGTAATAACTTTTTCTAATATCTAGTCCAAATTTCATTATTGATGCAAACCATATTATAAAGTATTATTATTTATATATTTCAGTATTGTTTTTTATTTTGCTTAAAACTTTTACATCTGTATTCATTGGTGAAAATGGCCTGTCATTTCCTTCTCTTAGAAGGTTATTGAGATTAACCTAGCTTCATGAAGTAAGTTGGTAATTATTTCTTTTACAATTTTCTTGAAGAGTTTTAGACTGAAATTATTTTCCTCTTAAATGTCTTGTAGAAATACTACATGAAGCAAACTGGGCCTTGAATTTGGTTTATAGAAGGTTTTTGATAATTATTTTATTGTTATAAAACTACAGTTTTAAAATAATGATTCCATAATTACTTTTGGTGAGTGACGTACTTCCAAGCATTTGTCAATATCTTCTAACATTTCAGATAAATTGGCATATAATTGTTCTTTATGTCCTTAATTATTTAATAAATAAGTAAATCTGTTTATTAAAGTTATTTATTATCTGCCTAACCTGATGCCTCTTTTTCATTTCTGATATTCAAAGAATCACAGTTGGCTTTGTTGAGCTTTGTGATTTGTTTTCAGAAATATTAAAATCTATGCTATTTTTATTTTATTTTTTGCTTCTTTTTTCTTTGAATCTATTTCGCTCTACAAATTTCTTGAAATGGTTTGTTAGTGTATACTTTTCAAGCTTTCCTCTTTTCTAATACATTTCATTCTATAAATCTCTTTCTATATGCTGTTTTAATTACATCTAACAGGTTTGGAACTGTGGCCTTTTTGTAATCATTTTTATTTGAGATATTTTCTGATTATTGTTATGACTTTTTGATCATTGATTATTAAGACATTTATTCCTCAATTTATACATATGATGATATTTAAATATCTTCTTTGTTGTTTTGTAGAGACAGGTTCTCACTTTGTTGCCTAGGCTGGTCTCTAACTCCTGACTTCAAGTGATCCTTCTTACCTCGGCCTCCCAAAGTGGTGGGATTATGAGTTTGAGCCATTATGCCCAGCCTAAAATATCTTTTTTTAATTTTTGAATTATAAAGACATACTTTGTGTCAGAAAATACACAACATTCTATATGATTTTAATCCTTTGAAATGTATTGACTTCTTTTAATGTTAAATATTATCTTTTTTGTGTTGACCTTTACCCTGCACCTTGCTGAATTCATTTATTGGTTCTAGTAGCTTCCCTGTGGATTCTTTGGATTTTCGATACATAAGGTCACGTCATCTGCAAACAAAGATAATTTTACTTCTACCTTTTCAATTTCGATGAGTTTTATTTCTTTTCTTGCCTAGTTTGCCTGGCTAGAACTCTAGTCCTATTGCAATCCTTATTTTGTTTTGCTGTTGGATATCTTCACATCTTCAGAAGTCATCTAAGGTTAATAATATTTTACGTTTATATATTTCCAAAAATATCTGTTTTCTCAAAAATTCTTTCTGAATGTTAATGCTGTTTATCCATAGTCTTCTAGCATTCAAGTTTATAATTCTGTAACAATTTAACTTTTATAACATGTTTCATCTGTATTATTTGAGAGCATGGAATTGTGCTATCAAGGCAAGAAAAGAAAATAGTTAAAAATCAATAAGAAGTAATAAACTTAGATTTAAATAACAGGCAAATTTATAGGATATCTTAAGTACAGAAATATTAGAAGAAGGTTGTGGAACACCACAGAATTAATAAAATCTGTTAAATATAGATGAGTCAGTGTGATGGTTAATTTTATGGGTCAGTCTACCTGGGCCACGGGGTGCCCAGCTATTTGGTTAAACATTGCTTCTCGGTGTGTTTGCAAGGGTGTTTCCAGAGGAGATAAGCATTTGAATAGGTAAGCTAAGTAAAGCAAAGTGCCTTTCCCAACGTGGCTGGGCATCATCCAATCTGTTGAGGGTCTGAATAGAACAAAAAGACAGAGGAACGGACAATTCACTCTTTTTCACTTGACTGCTTGAACTCAGATATTATTGGTCTTCTTCTGCCCTCAGGCTGGGACTCGCACAATTAATGTTCCTGATTGTCAGGATTTTAGACTCAGCTAGAACTATACCATGAGCTTTCCTGGGTCTCCAGCTTGCGGATCTTGGGAATTAGCCCCCGCGATGATCTGAGCCAACACACACATGCCCACACACACACACGTGTGTGTGTGTATATATATTGACCTAACATCTGTATAACATTGCCCACCTATTGGTGATACCTAATATAGTCACATTATGGCCTTCATATGTTTTTTACTCTTCTGTACAAATTCCGTGGCAGTATACCACATGAACTGGTGAGCTGCAGCTCTGGCCAGGGAGCTTGCCTCTGTAACACTCTGATAGAGCAAATGCATGTCACTGACCTTGAGCACCTTGTGTCTAGAGCCGACTTTTTCAGTCCTCAAGTCAGGTTCTTATAATCTCATAATCACAATCAGTGCAGAAAGATGATGCAGCAGAGATAAGGACAGCGCATATTTGAGGATTACAGTAACATGGTCCTTCAATTCTGCCTCTACCCTATCCTAAATGCATTGTCTCTCTTCAAAACCCTTCCCCACTTATTTTCTCTTGCTTTCTTGCTGTCTGTAGACTTAAATGTGGTTGGATCATCTTTCATCTATGACACTTCTGGGAGGGATGGACCAATGTTAATAGGCCCTGCACTGATGATTTCTACAAAGGACACTTATTTGTAGAAAACCTTTTTGCTTTACTTTTAGGCCTGGTATGGTGGCTCATGCATGTAATCCCAGCATTTTGGGAGGCCAAGGTGGACAGATCACCTGAGGTCAGGAGTTCAAGACCAGCCTGACCAACATGGTGAAACCCCATCTCTACTAAAAATAAAAAATTAGCCGGGCATGGTGATGCATGCCTGTAATCCCAGCACTTTGGGAAGCCAAGGTGGGTGGATCATCTGAGGTCAGGAGTTTGAGACCAGCCTGGCCAACATGGTGAAACCCCATCTCTACTAAAAATATTTTTAAAAATTAGCTGGCCATGGTGGTGTGCACCTGTAATCCCAGCTACTAGGGAGGCTGAGGCAGCAGGATCACTTGAACCCGTGAGGCAGAGGTTGCAGTGAGCCAAGATTGTGCCATTGCACTCCAGCCTAGGCAACAAGAGTGAAATGCACAAAAAAAAAAAAAAAAAAAAAAAAAAAACTGCTCTGTAGGATTTCTCAACTCTTGGTTTTCTAAAATTAAAACATAAGCCTAACAAAAAGACACTTAAATTGTTAAATTGAAAGAACTGAGGAAAAGAGAGCATATACGTGTATGAGTCATTCATTGAAACAAGGAATTACAGCAACTCAGTTAAATTATTGTCAAATTTACTTAAAATAGGTAACACATTTCTCTCTAGAGAAAAATGAAAAATGTCTCATGAATTAAAATGAAACTCATGCTCTTATATTCAAGCATTGAAATAGTTCATATTATGTTAGTAAATTCCCTTAGGGGCCTATTTTAAAAGGGGAAAATGCTGTGGGAAATAAACCGAAATAAAGGGCAGTAGAACAGGATAGTATTAGGGGACCATGTTTATTTACTACATTACCCAAGAAAGAACAGCATTTGAGACACATTTGTGGACTTCAACTTTCAATTTTTCTCATAAGAAAATTCAGTCTTTAACCCACTGGTGAGAAGAAACAGTCACCCTACAGCCTTACCTGGATTTTTGCTGTTCTGGAAATCTTCCTGGCCCCAGGCCCTTTACATCTTCTAAACTCTGAGGCAGAGCTTCCTCCCTCTGACTGGTTAAAAAAGGGCAGAGATTTGCAGGAAGCCTTATTTATCCAGGGCTCTAAACTGTTTGACAGCCTTATCAGGACTAGAGTATGCTGCAATTATGACCCCTTGTTACTTTTGTCAACTGATCCATAATCCAGAGATTAGGAGTGAAGAATTTCAAGAGAATCCGTAAAAGCAAAAGATTTTTACATTCTTTTCAAATGCTGCCATTTGCCTTTAGAGATATTTGGACAAGAAAGATTCACTTTTGGTTTGAAACAATCATCAATAATGCAGAAACCAACTGGAATTTTATTTCCTCTCAATTCTAGCCTCTTTATATGACCAGATGGATGAACCTACATTTCCAAACTGATTTGAAATTGCTAACACACAGAAAAGGAAAGTGATCCAGACAGGAAAAAATACAGAAGAGACTGAAATAGGCTATTTTCTGAACAATTTATAAAGAAAATCCTGATTTCATCTTATTTTACACATATCATTAGAAGTCAGTGAAACGGGGAACAACTGGAGAATTAGATTATGATACAGTAGTTCCCTTTATCCATAGGGGATGCATTCCAAGACCACCAGGGGATTCCTGAAATTGTGGTTAGTACCAAACCCTGTATAAACACTATAATTTTCTTATTTATATCTATGATAAAGTTTAATTAGGCACAGTAAGAGATTAACAATAAAATATATCATAAAATATGCTACAACAAAAGTTATGTGAATGTGTCTTTCTTTGGAGTACGTAACAAGTATGAAATGGAATTATGAATTTCCATGAAGATATTAAGAATATTTTAGTATTTTGAGACCACAGTTGACAGCGAGAAACTGAAACCATGGGAAGCAAAACTGAATAAGGAAAGACTACTGTGTATTAGATACTCAATTGCTACCCAAAACAGATGATGATGGGTAAGCCTATTCACAAAATGCAATTGCCTCACACTTTATAATGCTCTGTGAATCAGGACTTAAGTTTTCTTTTAAAAATATAAATAACTATTAAGAATTGTAAAACTTTATTTAAGAATACCTTTATTACAAGTTTAAAATCTGGGAAGGGAAGGCTTTTCTCCCTACCCCAACGGTTCATAAATATGGACAACAGAGCAGGTTTTTTCATTTAAAAATATCACATTTGAAATGATAAAAGACAATATCCAGTGACTAGTCCAACTTCTAAAAGGCAATGAAATCCTCAAGCAGCCAGAGTACCAGGTGAAGTAGGGTAGCCTCATCATCCAGAATGTACAGCTTTGTTCTTACACTTAGGAAGGGATACAATGAGGTAGCTCAACAAGGGAACACTGTTCCTGTAAGGACGGAAAAGAAACAGTTACATTGTTGTACTGATGGGAAACTACCATCTAACTATCCACTGAGGCTCAACAAAGTGGGAACGTGGGAAAAAGGCATCAATTTTAAACCCCAGGGACCATTATAATATTCTAATGATTCAAGTATCACAAATACGATATATACACATGTATACACACATACATATTATGTGTATATGTAGCTATTAGTTAACAAATGCTTAGTAAATGATTATAAATTTTACATGAGGACACCATCTGAAGTTTAGAATTATGAGGGTCGGTTGATACGTGGAATAAGGGCCTGTCCCTCTAGCATACTAAAGTCCAAAGATTATAGCCTATTTGAATATTCTTATGGCTCATTTGAGTTTTCTCTTGCTGACATTTAGTTCTTTTAGAACAAAAAGCTGGAATTAGAGTTAACATAGATATCAATTACTATCTTTACGGGAATCCATGATCCCATTCCATACTTATATGCACCAAAGATGGTTTTTCTCTAGCTCAAGTAAATTAACATAAAAGAACTATTGAGGTTACAATTGCAAATCTGTTTTATGTAAGGAAATAATGAGAAATGCCAAGATAAAATATATCCCTAATAAACATAAAAAATGCAGTATTCCAATGATCCTGAACTAAAATCATATGGGCAATAGTACACAAAATGTGGCATATGCCACCACCTTACTAAACCCTGGCCTTTTTTATATAAATGTACTGTAAACATTTATGGTACTAATTCAAAATACTCTTACACATAGGACACTCTTGGACGGATTTCCAAGTCTTCAAGTTCATGTGATAGTGAGCGGTGCTGTCCCACTGACCTTCTGCATTCACGACGGCTATCATTCTCTCTCCCTCTCATTACTAAGATTATTGGAAACCTTCTGAAAAAGAGAAAAAAATATATTTAAGCTTTGTATATATTATGCTTTTGGAGGTGGAGAAAAAGTTGAAATGTGGAGAAAAACTAAATTAAACAGATCTCTTCCAGCTGTGAGAGAATGCCAAATCAGCTAGCTGAGACAAATATGAAAATGTGTTGTTTCACAGAATATGAGAAAAAATTCACAGATGGTTGCATACGACTTTTCATTATCCCAAAATGTACTATTGTGACCTGAAGCCAATTTCACAGGAATGTCAAATACCAAGAACTCTTAATAAGTGGCTGAAGCAGCTCTTATCTCTAATCATCTCAACAGACATCTACAGAGAATGATTAGAGGCATGCAGTTCTGAGTTCTTAGCCTATGACAGAGGGATAAGTGGGGTCACTAAAATTCTCCCTCCCTTAATGAAGCCAAATAAAGGTGTTTCTATCAGCTTCTCCAACACAGAGTTTCCTACAGCAAGAGGCTGACATTTTACTCCCAACTATCTGCCTGTGCAGTAGAATGACACGAGAGACATGCAGGTGTAGAAAAGGGGACAGAAAGGGCATATTCTCCCACCATGAACTGTAGTATGACTAAGTAATTTCCCCCACAGGTATCAACATTTTAGCTGTATTTCCAGGATTTCACTCAAGAATACCTGTGAACTGGAGAGGGGACCTCAAGAAGTCAAGATATTGGAATAAAAAACAACCAAGACAGAAAATGAGCAGGTTGTGTGGAGGCCTACAGTGGCAGTTGTATGGACGAAGAAGTAAGCCTTGTTTTAGATCGGTCCATCAGGAAATATGCAGTTGTGATGACCACCCCCTTTCTAAGAACTCCAAAAAACTCACACATCCATAATTCGAGATACACTTCTGGGTGAAGGTATGATTATCTAGCCAGCATTGCTGGAAATGGACCACAATTGCACCATGTAACCATGAGATAATTGTGACCCAACCTCTTTCATCCTGTCATATCAGCAAAACATGAAGATAAAAGCAGCAGAGGGAAATGTACTACTCAGATTATACTAAACCCTCTTCTTCTCCAAATCCTTTGTGTGCTCTGTAAAACTCTAGGAGTCTTAAAGAAAACCCAAGTTTGATATAACATTGGAGATAGGGACCTGACTTGATTTTCACTTATGAGAAGGACCAAAGATGCTGTTAATGAATAAGAAAAGTAGATATCACCAAGTATAATTGAAGTCAGTGGTTGTAAGTTAAATATAGCCATTAAATTCTGTGTCTCCAGAGACACAGAGACAACCTTCAAAATTGGTTGGAATGAACACTCTAGGGGCAGAGAGAACACACATGCAACTGGGCCTTGTGAACAGCTCAACCAGGGATTTGACCACAAGCAGAATTGCCTCCACCTTCATCAACAGGCTCTCCTGCTTTACTCTCTCATTGCAGAAAAGTTTCTCCAATAAGGAGAGAATTTTGGTCATTAGCAAGTCTTGATTTTATATATATAAAAAAAATTAGATATATATATAAAATACAAAAATTTGTCAGTTTTTGCAGAAACTGACAAATCAAAGACTGATTCAATTCTAGTTTTAAAATTGAGAAAATACTGATTTTGAATCTCTTGGCTCCTCCCCACATCTGCAGAAAGGTGGTATGGTTTGCACAAAAACTTAAGAACTCCTATAATAGCCATGGATGAGACAGTATGGGCAGGTGCAGACAAGGAACACTGCAAAAAAGGAAAGATTACTAACAAAAACTTTCTGACATAATCTCTTTAGTGACTGTAGAATTCAATTCTCATATAACAACTGAGCCTCATCTACTCATGCGGAAACTACATTGAGAGAATCAATTTATTTAGACCTACTCACATGACCAACAGAACACCATAGATCAGATTTGATCCAATGTCCAACCTTAGCATAATGTTCAGCAGTTTAACTGATCAGAACACCTAGAAGGCAAAAATAATATTAGATAGCCTTAATCTCAGTAGTGCACTGCACTTACCTTTGCACATAGCATGATACTGGGATGTGTAAATTGAAGTCAAAATTCGTTGGTTCATATACAATTAAACTTTCAATGAGAATACCTACTCCATGTTCCTAAAGGTGTAAAGGATATAAATTATCTTAATTATATCTCTTTCAAATGCTTTCAAATTCCATTTTAAAAATATAGATTAAAAACAAAATAATTTTTACTTTTATTTTTACTTTATGAAATAAAATAGGTATGAGTGCACGGTCTACAATAGAAGAGCAGAGCTAAGTGATAAAAATCCCTGGTTTTAGAAGACATTAATAGCCCCTGCCATAGTAGCAGGGACATTGTATTTGGCACTTGAGTCTGCATAGACAACTTTTGATCACCACATTTGTTTAACAGTCAAGGTCTGGGCCAGGCACGTTGGCTCACACCTGTAATCCCAGCGCTTTGGAAGGCAGAGGTGGGCAGATCACTAGGTCAAGAGATTGAGACCATCCTGACCAACAAGGTGAAACCCCATCTCTACTAAAAATACAAAAATTAGTTAGGTGTGGTGGTGCATGCCTGTAGTCCCAGCTACTTGGAAGGCTGAGGCAGGAGAATTGCTTGAACACGGGAGGTGGAGGTTGCAGTGAGCCGAGATTGTGCCGCTGCACTCCAGCCTGGTGACAGAGCAAGACTCCATTGCAAAAAGCAAAAAAAAAAAAAGAGTCAGAGTCTGATTTAGGCAGACCTAAATTATTCAGTGTGAATTTTGACTAGATATTTGACAACTTTAGAAAAGCAGTTGAGTCAGCCTCATGCTAAATTGAGTACTTGCCAAATACTAGACTTTTTTTTTTTGAGACTAGAGATACAGCAGCAAACAAATGATAAAGTCATGTACTTGGATCCAAAAATAGAATCAGTTCACCTAAATAATCTTTACTAGAAATAGATGTGATACCAAAAATGAAAAACTAGGCTATAATTACAAAACATAGCAACAATTTAACATAAAGCAAAAAAAAAAAAAGTTTTCTGGTGACTGGAAAGATTGATTTCTCTCTTATTAATACAGGAACTATATAAACTGATATACCCCATTTTCATCAAAATTTTAGGTCAACAACAAGAGTTGGGTATTTGTGGTACTGTTTCAAAACGAAATGTTTCTCTCAAACTAGATTTAACCAGAATATTTTAAAAAACAACAACAACAACAAAAAAAACACTATCACAGGCAAAAGAGATATGTTGCCAAAAAAATATTTTAAAGTAGGAACACACAGTTTTTGGAATCCCAAATCCTATTTGTCTTTCCTACAGATAGAAGCAACATCCAAAAATGTTGAAGAGAATAATCAATACTACATGAACTATTAAATTAACTGACAATTAAAATGTGAATACTGCAGTTTTAGTCATTGGTTTGTGGACCCAAAACAGTCAAAAGATATATTATTGGTTGAAATAATAACTGCTCTTACGCTCACTCTGATGCCACAAAAAGTTAGAAGATACAGGAACCCAAAGAAATCCACCTCGACCATGTTTACAGGACAGCCAATTCCTAGAGAGAGTTCGTTTTGCAAAGGTTGCAGGTCATTTAACAGCGGCGTTCGTCTAAGTTTGACCTGGAGCCAGGATTCAGAACAGGTTATAGACACTGTTGAAAGAAAATTTAAAAAGGGAAAACATCAAATAGTACGTCTGCCCCCAAACAAAGAACTCAGGAAACTTTCAACCTCTTGAGCTGAATCCCCAACTGTAGAGTGAAAATGTTTTGCTCCTATTTGTATATTTTTCCACTGGGAGATCTTGGGTCAATTAATCTCTATGTGTCTCAGTTTTTTCATCAGAATGTGGAAAAACCGTAGAAGTACTTCTTCAGAATTTTTTCTTAATTATACTTTAAGTTTTAGGGTACATGTGCACAACGTGCAGGTTAGTTACATATGTATACATGTGCCATGTTGGTGTGCTGCACCCATTAACTCGTCATTTAACATTAGGTATATCTCCTAATGCTATCCCTCCCCCCTCCCCCCTCCCCCACCCCACAACAGGCCCCGGTGTGTGATGTTCCCCTTCCTGTCTCCATGTGTTCTCATTGTTCAATTCCCACCTATGAGTGAGAACATGCAGTGTTTGGATTTTTGTCCTTGCGATAGTTGAGAATTTCTAAGCTAAATAAGTCAAATATCGCAACATGCACACTTTGTTTTTAGGGATTGTTCAAATTTTACTAACAGGTCTCAGGAATACATGTTTGAAATATATCTAGGTGTAAGTGATATCTATCTGAAATGGAGAAACAAGAAAAAGCTTTACATTTGGCTGCACACAATAGAAAAATATATCACGTGCTTCCACTTAAAATTTTATTTTGCATCAAAATATCTGAGCCAATAAATATTAATTAGTATGTGACACTAAGGATTCAGAAACAAAATAATACTGCAGTTACTCCGATGATAATTTTGATTGCCAACTATGTTAAATTTTGGTTTGAGGTCTTACTTCATTTTCAGTACATTTCTATGGTCAATTTTATTATTATCCCATATTTACACATGGATAAATTTAAGGTCATGTAACTATTAAGTGGCAGATCAGGATTAAAATCTATGCCAAATCTATTCAGAGCCTCAACTCTGAAAAGAATCATATACAATTGAATACAGCTGACTACTCTCTGTCCAAACTTCATACCCCACGGCCAGAAATGTAGACCTAGGTAACCTCCTCTCTTAGGCACTGGGCAGTCTCTCCTGATTTTGCCAGTCACTGTAAGTATTTCACATTCAGCAAAGTAACAAGCTAGTCTCCAGCAGAGAAAGAACCTGGAAATATTTTGCATGTAAAAAAAAATAAAAAACAACAGCACCTTGAGATCAGCTTAGAGGAAAAATTCAAGAGGAAGTACAGGGGTAAAGATAAAACTAGTCTGGCTGTAACTTTGCGATCATTAGTTATTAGCAGTTGATCACTAGGTTATAAAAAAAACAAACTCCCAAAGTCAACAATATGTTAAAAAAAAAAAAAAAAAAAAGCCCTGCTGATTGAAATTGCCACCTCCAAAAATTCCCTCTTTTTCTTACAATCTTGGAGACCATGAATCAACTCGAAAAGCATGAGGAGCTTTCCCAACACACAAGAGATCTTCATTGCTTCAGATTCCAGCCCAAGGTATCACAGGAAACAGAAAACCTAGGGAAGTGGGCCTCCACAGGTGTTTATAAACCTCTTGCCTCCTCAGCTGTGGGTGATGGTTTATCATTCTGGAAAGCACTGAGAACCCCTTAGCATAGTTTTGGCTTTTTGTCCTCACAGCTGAAGTTATTAAGTTGGCGCAAAAGTAATTGCGGTTTTTGCCATTGAAAGGTAAATCAGAAACTCAGGAAAGAACACATGGAAAGTGGTTCTAGGCTGCATCTCCTACCACCATGTCTTTTTTCTCAAGCATGTGGATGTGTCTGAAATTGTGTCTGACATAATATTTGATATGTGTCTATTGAATTGTTAAAGTAGGGCTTTGCAAGATGATTTGAGAAATTCAAGTGGTGATACAGAAGAATTATTTATGAATTGATTAACAATATTGCAATATTGCATATTATATTCACTCTGGGTTCTTGTGAAAAAAGAAAAATAAAAAAGCTTTTGCTCTACCTCCCAACCAATGATTCAGATCCAGTAAACCTGGGACGAGATGCGCTCACTAATCGGTGCTTGTAATCAGCTTCAGGAGGTTTTGATTCAGGTAAACAAATCCACACACCTGTGGTCTAAGCTTTGGCAAAACAATGCTTTCTGGTTTAATTTTGCTTTCCCTACAAGCATTTTATTATGAATGTGCACATATCTAGAGATCTAAAGAAATATTCTCTAAGGGCATTTTTGGACAATTAAATCTAGTAATGAAAAATTGTAAGAAAAAGGGATAATAGATAAGAATAACAGCATCACTTGGTTATACCTTTTGGCAGAAACCAACCTCCAAAAAACTTCCTCTCAAAAAGTAAAAGTAAAAGCCTAATAAATTATTTTTAGAAATTGTGTAGCATATCACATAGATTGCCTCAGCTTCTAAGTACAAAATAATTGTTTTTAGCTATATGAATCTCCAGGATTATGAACTGATGTAACAACGAGGAAGCAAAAAGTAACATCTGTGAACATCAGAAATCTCAAAGTCCTTTCTACTAAACGTTTTTATTATAGTGCATGTTCTTTAAAATTAGTAGGATTTTATGTTAAGGTATCTATCACTTAAATTATATTTGGGAATGAGAACCTTACAGTAGATTAAATTTATGAAGAATATTTCAGTGGTTTTTATTTGAAAATACTTATCTGTTTTCTTATTTAAGAGGTGAATAAATACATTGTTATTTTAAATAGCTAACTACATAGAAGTACATAAAATAATACTGGAATTTCTAATTCCAATAGCTTACATGCTTTCCTCTGTTGAAATAACCACTAATTTTGTAAATGTTAAGTTCACATAAAATTAGCAATTTTGAAGTATATAATTCAGTGGCACTTGGCACATACACATGTGTGAAACCATCACCCCTATAGTTCCAAAATGTTTTCATCATCGCCCCAAAGGAAAACTTATACTTCTTAAGCAACCCTCCACTCCTCCTTTCTCCCAGCCCCTGGCAAGCACCAAGCTACTTTCTATCTCTTTGGATTTACCTATTCTGGACACTTTGTAAAACTTGAATCATACTCTTAACTTTAAAAATCATGCTATTTATTTATTTGTTTACAAATAAAAGAGGCTTTATTTCTTATAAAGGGTTACAGACTGCAAGATGGCCATCCTAACAGGCTGGGATGCATAGCCTCCAGCAAAGCCTGAAAGGCAGGCACATTGCAGGGAGGGAGGAGTGAGATGGGAATTTATGCTGAATGGGTTGGCCAAGCATATGTATTTAACAGGTTATAGGAGGAGCTATGAATATTCACTAACGTGGTTCTAACACATAAGTGCTGAATAAACATGCATGTTATATATGACCCATGTTCACTTTGCGGTGGAGACTTAACATTTAAATCTATTACAATTAGGCCCTGTACATCTAAAGGTCTTTCCAGGATACTAAGTTATACAAGTGTGCAACCTCTGTAAACTGGCCAGAACCAGTTCTTGCTCAGTTGTCTCTTATCAGGAGAAAGTTGCTGAAATGAGTCCCTTGTCCAGTCAAAGCTGTAGTTATGGCTTATGGCACAGGAGAGTCAGTTAGCCTCTGGCAGTGGACAAGCTGTCATTGTTTTAATATTGCTTATCTCAAGGCCAGTGCTTGTTTAGCTGCTGGAAAAGAAAAAGAAAAACCTTGTGGCAGTTAGAACAAAGTTCATTCTTTAAGTGTAGGGGTGTGTGACTTAACCATTATTTGGCATGGCCTTGGGTCCTGTTTATAAGTTGGTATGTTATTGCCACAAAGAGTTTGTTGTGTCAGCCTTATGATCTTTTTTTTTTCTTTTTTTTTGAGACGGAGTCTCACTCTGTTGCCCAGGCTGGAGTGCAGTGGCGCGATCTTGGCTCACTGCAACCTCCACCTCCCTGGTTCAAGCAATTCCCCTGCTTCAGCCTCCCGAGTAGCTGGGATTATAGGCACACACCACCATGCCCGGCTAATTTTTTTTTGTATTTTTAGTAGAGATGGGGTTTAACATGTTGGCCAGACAGGTCTCGAACTCCTGACCTCAACCAATCTGCCCGCCTCAGCCTCCCAAAATGCTGGGATTTATAGGCATGAGCTACTGCACCCAGCCTGATCTCTTTTTTAGCATTAATACTAGTCAGGTGTTGTGTCTAAACCACAGAAGGGAAGTGGTGTAACAAGGCATGTCCAACCCCCCACCCCATGACGTCTGGGAACATAGTTCTTAAGGTTTCTCTGGGGTCCTCTTGGCCAAGATGGGGGTTCATTCAATCAGTTGAAGGCCTAGAATTTTATTTTTAGTTCACATGGTACCATGAATCAGTACTTCATTTCTTTTTATGGCTGTATAGTATTCCGTTGTATAGGTATAGCACATTTTCTTTAGTCATTCATTCATTGATGAACTTTCGGGTTGTTTCCATCTTTGAGAATAATACTACTCTGAAAGCTCTTGTTCAACATTTGTTTGAATTCCTGTTTTCAATTATTTGGGGTATTTGACTCAGCTTTAATCGCCTCCTATTCACCGCCCTGCTGAGGGAGAGATTCCTATCCTAGGGCTATGGTTATACCCAAACACACAACACCTGACACTGAACAGATGCATCCAAAGCAATTTATTGCTGTGTACATTCACAGCCCTGCAGAGGAGAACACCACATAGCACATAGGTCCACGTGAGGACCGCACTTAGGAACAGAGGGAACAACCAGGGACTCTGGGACATAAGCTTTGTAATATCAAGAGGGTGAGGTGACCCCTAGATCCCACAGGAGCGTATGATTGGCTTGTTTGAATAATTCTGCAGGCTGCCAGGGAACTGAAACCCACTGTTGAGAGATAAGCAGGAACTGTATCTGGTCTCCTTGATAAGCAGAGCTGTTTAGTGGGGACCTTATCTTCAGGAGCAGAGGAGGGAGATAAATATGCAGTTATGCCTTTATAGCCCTTCCAGTTTCACCAGATGCCGAGATAGAACATGATACCAGGCTTTAACTATTAGTCCTTACATGACAACCTAGGAGTGAAACTGCCAAACTCCCCCACAGTGGCTGTATTATTTTACATTTCATTTGTTTTGTTTTGTGTGTTTTTTTTTATTTTTTTGAGATGGAGTCTAACGCTGTCGTCCAGGCTGGAGTGCAGTGGCCTGATCTCGACTCACTGCAACCTCCACCTCCTGAGTTCAAGTGATTCTCCTGCCTCAGCCTCCCAAATAGCTGGGACTACAGGCAAGGGCCACCATGCCCGGCTAACTTTTGTATTTTTTGTAGAGATGCGGTTTCACCATGTTGGCCAGGCTGGTCTCGAACTTCTGATCTCAGGTGATCTGCCCACCTCAGCCTCCAAAAGTGTTGGGATTACGGGCATGAGCCACTGCACCTGGCCTTTTGTGTATTTTTTAACTTTTAAGTTCAGGGGTACAAGTGCAGGTTTGTTACATAGGTAAACTTGTGTCATGGGGGTTTGTTGTTCTGATTATTTCATCACCCAAGCATTAAGCCTAGTACCCACTGGTTATTTTTCCTGACCCTCTTCCTCTTCCCACCCTCCACCCTCCAAAAGGCCCCAGTGTGTGTTGTTTCCCTGTATGTGTTCATGTGTTTTCATCATTTAGCTCCCACTTATAAGTGATAACATGTGGTATTTGGTTTTTTTTTTTCTGCATTCATTTGCTAAGGATAATGGCCTCCAGCTCCATCCATGTCCATGCAAAGGACATGATCTTGTTCTTTTTTATGACTGGATAGTATTTCATGGTATATATGTACCACATTTTCTTTATCCAGTCTATCATTGATGGACATTTAGGTTGAATCCATGTCTTTGCTATTGTGAATAGTGCTGCAATGAACATACACATGCATGTCTTTATAATAGAATATATATTATTCTATATTCCTTTGGGTATATACTTAGTAATGGGATTGCTGGATCAAATGGTTTATCTGTCTTTAGGTCTTTGAGGAATCTCCACACCGTCTTCCACAATGGCTGAACTAATTTACACTCCCACCAACAGTGTATAAGCATTCCTTTCTCTCTACAACCTCACCAGCATTTGTTATTTTTTGACTCTTTAATAGTAGCCATTCTGACTAGTGTTAGATGGTGTCTCATTGTGGTTTTAATTTGCATTTCTCTAACGATCAGTGATGTTGAACTTTTTTTCATATGATTGTTGGCTGCATGTATGTCTTCTTTTTTTGTTTGTTTGTTTTTGAGACGAAGTCTTGTTCTGTCACCCAGGCTGCAGTGCAGTGGTGCTATCTTGGCTCACTGCAACCTCCACCTCCTGGGTTCAAGTGATTCTCCTGCCTCAGCCTCCCAAGTAGCTGGGACTACAGGCACATGCCACCACACCTGGCTAATTTTGTATTTTTAGTAGAGATGGGGTTTTGCCATGTTGGACAGGCTGGTCTCGAACTCCTGACCTCAGGTGATTCACCTGCTTCAGCCTCCCCAAGTGCTGGGCGCATGCACTTTGCCCACTTTTTATGGGGTTGTTTTTTTCTTGTAAATTTGTTTAAGTTTCTTATAGATCTGGATATTTGACCTTTGTCAGATGCATAGTTTGCAAAAATTTTCTCCCATTCTGTTTGCTGTTTACTCTGTTGATAGTTTCTTTTGCTGTGCAGAAGCTTGTTAGTTTAATTAGATTCCATTTGTCAATTTTTGCTTTTGCTGCGATTGCTTTTGGCATCTTTGTCATGAAATATTTGCCTGTGCCTATGTTTTGAATGGTATTGCCTAGGTTGTCTTTCGAAGTGTTTATAGTTTTGAGTTTGATGTTTCAGTTAAAGGTGCTATATTCACTCACACCTTTCCTTCCTCTCCGTGAGAGTCATGCACCGTAGCTGCTTCTAATCAGCCATCTTGGCTATGGGTGAAGTAAAACAATCACCATTTTACATTTCTACCAGTAATGTACAAGAGTTCCTATTTCTCTACATTCTGCACCAACACTATTTCTTGTCATTCTTATTATTATTGCATTTGAGCCGTTGTGAAGTGATATCTCATTGTGGGTTTTTACCTACCCATTGCATTACCCTAATGACTAATGATGTTAAGCACCTTTTCATGCACTTATTGGTCATTTTAAAATCTTCTTTGAAGAAATGTATACTCATTCTTCCCCATTTTTTAAAACTGAGTTGTTTGTCTTTGTGTTACTGAGTTGTAAAATTTATTTATATATTATGGATCCTAAACCCTTTACAGATATATGATTTCCAAGTATTTTCTCCCATTCTGCAGGTTGTCTCACTTATTTTTAAAATTGTTCTTTGGTACACAAAAGCTTTAATTTTGATGAAGTCAAATGAACAAGAGATAAAATATGTGTTCAAACATTTATTTAGGCCCCAGTGTTATCATATTGGTGGCTAAGTTATCATTGCTATTCTTTGATTTAACACAGGCTTTTTTCCATTTTTAAGTGAGAGGGTCACTAAGCTCTGTTACCATTCAGGCACCATAATAAGATTATAGATTCTTAGTAGAGGATTTAAATCTAAAAACCTTTACATATAAGTTGCCGCAAAAACATCTTCCCAGTTACATGAGAAATGTTATTACTTGATTAAAACAGAAATTGGTATTCAAGAGCTTGATATAATTAGACCTATTGAACAACTTAATGAAAGTACCAAATGACTCTTAAGTTTCATCTTGGGGTCCTGAAGACATATACAACAACTATCCTCAGGGCTAGTTAAATTCATTCTTTACCTTTTTCATTCTTCTTGCTGATCTAGTTGTAAACCCTAATGTGCCCATCTAGTCTTTGCCATAAAAAATAAGACAGAGAAAATATGAAATACAGGAATTAATGGAACTCCAGGTTGATCCTGATATCAACAGTATATTAAAAGAATTATTAATACATGAATAATGATCTATTTGTCTAAGGATAGCAGGCATCTCCTAATATTTGCAGAGATAAATTATTGTTCTACTAAACAATACAGAATGTGGAATGAAAAGCATCCAGCTCTAGTCAGAACTTAGTGCTTAAGAAAGTGCCCCTTCAGCTCGTTTTCAGAATTTTATTGGAAAATAGGTGGTTGAAGATCCAATGAACACGTATGATGACACATTTTAAAACAGAAACCAGTATCATCATTAAACAGACATTCCAGGATGACATTTAATGTTCTCTCCAAACACAAGTACCTTGGATGGATAAATGAAATTGCAGGGTGTGATGAAGATCTATCATCTCGCTCAACAGCACATGAAATATGCATGAGTCATCGCCTTGGTAATGTTCTTGAGATAAATATTAGCAGATATCTAAAAATAACCTTCACTTTTAAAACCTGAGGGTACAAAATAAATTTTAAGTAGATTCATCAATTACATTACAGTTAAATTTTTACAGAATTCAAAGAAGCATTCAAAGTTTTTAAAAGGAACAAATTTAGGTAAAAGTGAACAGAAAGGCATATTTGTTTTTAAAATTAGATGATCTGTTATATGAAAAAGATACTTGCACACTCATGTTTATAGCCGCACAATTCGCAATTACAAAATCACGGAACAAACCCAAATGCCCATCAATCAACGAGTGGATAAAGAAACTGTTATATATATATATAATGGAATACTACTCAGCCATAAGAAGGAATGAATTAACACTATTCACAGTGACTTGGATGAGATTGGAAACTATTATTCTAAGTGAACTAACTTAGGAATGGCAAACCAAACATTGTATGTTCTCACTTATATGTGGGAACTGAGCTATGAGGACGCAAAGGCATAAGAAAGATACAGTGGACTCTGGGGACTCAGGGAAGAGTGGGAAAGGGGCAAGGGATAAAAGACTGTAAATATAGTGCAGTGTATACTGCTCAGGTGATGGGTGCACCAAAATCTCACGAATCACCACTGAAGAACTTACTCATGTAACCAAGCACCTCCTGTACCCCAATAACCAATGGAAAAAAAAGTCAGAGAAAGAGAAATGGGGTTATAGAACAAGAGGAATGTAAACAAATGAATCTACTTACAGAAAAACAAAAGGCTAAAGCCCACAGTAAGAATCATCTTTTCTTCAAATCAGGGCAGAGGATATACAACAAAATAGGGCTCCTGAGATCTCAGGACTATCTTAAGGCTCTGATGAAAGAAGATGGGAGGGAAACAAGGGGAGACTGGCAGCCCTGCCACTCACGTGATTAACTTAGCCATGACTCCCTGAGGCAAATGTCCTCAGCCAAGGAAACTGCTATTGCTATCATGCTTTTGGTTCACAACCCACCTTGAACTAATACATTTGACAATGAAAATGAATTACTTTAAAAAAAAAAAGAAGAAGAAGAAGGAAAGGAGAGAGGAGAGGAAGGGAAGGAGGAAAGAAAACTGCAAGCCTAATGATGGCATTCTTGGATATCCAATTGCTACAAAAGTAGTTCACCCTCCATTTCTATATCCGCTGGTCACAGATTGGTGTACTAGTCCATTAATCACATGTCATTCTTTGAGTGGCACTGTCTCACAGCACCTAGCACAGCTCCACGTACTTTGTTCTATTCAATAAATGGAATAAATGAAAATAAATAAATAAAAATAGATGATCTGGCCAGGCACAGTGGCCCATGCCTGTAATCCCAGCACTTTGGGAGGCCGAAATAGGAGGATCAGTTGAGCCCAGGAGTCAAGACCAACCTGGGCAACATGGCATAAATCTACCTCTACAAAAAATACAAAGATTAGTCAGTTGTGATAGTGTGAGCATGTAGTCCCAGCTACTCAGAGACTGAGAAGTGGGAGGATTGCTTGAGCCCACTGAGCACTGTTGAGATGTTGAGGCTGCAGTGAGCCATAGGCATGCCTCTGCACTCCAGCCCAGGCAACAGAGCAAGACCTGTCTCAAAGAAAAAAAAAAAATAGATGATCTATTAAACTTGGCACACTGTGTAGGAAAGCAGGAACCCCTAGTAAGTTTTAATTTAATCTAAATCTATTGCTTCTATGATACAACATAATTATTCAAATACCATTATTTAAAAAGCAATTAAATCATTTATTGTATAATTGGGCTTATTCTTTGTTTAAATTTTGTATTTTCCCTGAATATCTTACTATTTCTATCTTCCTAAAAGTCATGGTTTCCTATGAAACGAGACAATGCCAGATTCATAGTATTGTAGTATTAGACAAAAAAAACCATAAAGATATGAAAAATTCATAAAGATATTGGCCCTTAAGAAGTCAATATAAATAATATCCACAATTAGACTGAAAGGATTTAAAAAGATAGTTCATGGTTGATGAAATGCTTTAATAAGCACATTCACTGAAATATTTTATTTTCTATATAATATTGGGTCCTAGATTTCCTTTGGCCAGTTGACGAATTTTATCTCATTCTAATGTAAACCATAATGTGTTTTTTTGTGCTTTCTTCCCAGAAGGTATGCAAATTCTAAAGTATTAGGAAAAAATAGGTAAATAATAATAAAAGTTCTCATGATACCACTACTAGATACAGGCTTAGTTTCATGTTTGTATAGCACCTCTAAATGTTCTCTTTGTCTAACAAAAGGATTCTTGATTTCTGAGATAAATTCTTACAATTTTTTTACATGTTAAAAAAAAGAAGAAGAAAACCAAAGGAGAGCCTGATTAAAGAAAAAAAGGCCTACACCTAAATTGGGCTTCAGAATTTGACAAGTATAGAGGTATACTCAGATAATTCTATATGAGGATCATACATGAATCCTCAAAACTACAGTTTTCTCCCTCCAACCCTCGAGAAGCTTAGTATAAACCCAGGGAAAGAGTAAACTCAATGAAAGATGCTATTATTTTTGTAGAAGAATATGTAGATAGATGATTAGATAGATAGATAGATAGATAGATAGATAGATAGATAGATAAAGTCCCTTCACTTTTCTCTGGTGGAAAATGGACTGAACTTCTACAATTTCAATAATTACATGGAATTTAAAACTACTAGATGAGTGATTTTGCTGTAAATAGAGAAATAAAAACGATACTCTCTGCAGAACTGTCAACATATTCAGAGCAAGTTCTGTGTTCAATTTAACTTAGCATCCCATGGAGCAGGGTTCAGCAAACTACAGCCCACAAGCCAAATCTAGCCCACTACCTATTTTGGTAAAAAAAAAAATTTATTAGAATACATGTGGCCATGCTTATTTGTTTACGTACTGCACATGTCTGCTTTCATGGAACAAGGGCAGAGCTGAGTAGTTGCAACAGAAACTTTATGATCTACAAAGCCTAAAATGCATACAGTTACATTGCACAATGATATTTTGGTCAAGAAGAGACCACATACATGACTGTGTTCCCATGAGATTATAATGGAGCTTCTCTATACACGTGTACCCTGTTTATCTTTTCTATGTTTACATATGTTTTGATACACAGATACCAATGTGATACAGTTGCCTGCAGTATCCAGCACAGTAACATGCTGTTCAGGTTTGTATCCTAGAAGCAACAGGCTATTCCATATAGCCTAGGTGTAAAATGGGCTATGCCATCTAGGTTTGTGTAAGTACACTCTATGAAGTTTGCACAATGATGAAATCACCTAGCAATGCATTTCTCAGAACATATTCCGATTAGTAAGCAACTCATGACTATATTATGGAGACTTTTACAGAACAAGTTTGCCAATCCCTATCCTAGAGCTCAATATGCTTAAGAGGTTTAATTCATTGACTGACAGGCAAGGAACTATTATCTATATTACATGTCGATTTCCTATGTTCTGAAAAAATATATTTGTAAAAATCAGATTAGCCTTGCTTTACAAGGACCTTCTCTGAGGCAGCTGATTTCTGGGCTGCCCAAACAACCCAACCAAGAAAAATAGCAATTGCTCTTGTCTGAGATTTGATGCCACCATCAGTTGTAGGGTACAGAAACATACAAAAAGTCTTGCCATACATTGGTTACAGAACACCCACTTTCCAGAGACTCCGCATTAGAAAGCACATACCAATCATCAACTGTCAGTGCTTTAATTTTGACATGAAGTGAATCAAGAGTACAGTATATGTCAAAGTCTGAAAGATCCAACAAGAACACATCAGTACATTTCTGTCTTAGGAAACAGTTCAGAATCATCTTCCTAGAGAGAAAAAATATATATATATATGAGATCTAAGAGAAATCTTAGAAACAGAAGCAAGGCAGCAAAGTCAGGAGACCAGAGCCTGAGTAGCAGGAAACTGAGCAACAAGGAAGCCAACAGGGGAAAAGTTGCTCTGGGCCCAATTCCTCTAGCAAAAGTCCTTTGTAAGTACTAAAACTCACAACAGCAGGTAGGGAAGCTTAATCTGGGACTCCTGCTCTAAGCCAGAATAATCAAGGGGCTGAAGTAGTTCCTAAGACGAAGGACATTTTCTAGCCATAGGCAGAAGGAAAATCAAACTCACTGGAGGAAATGGTCATGCTTAAAGCATGAAAACAGAAAAATGTAAAAATAAACCAATAGAAAAAGACAGCATACATACTAACCAGAGGAAAATGTGTATTAATATAGCTTCATTAGACATAATGGAAAATGGGAAGGGGCAAGTTCTAACTTACCTAAGAATGCCAACTAATAGAAGGAACGATTGAATGGGGGCAAAGGTGGGGCAGAAATCAATATTTGCAGCCACCACATTAATAATTACTTGGAACAAAAATCAGTGGATGCTAAAACTAGTAAAAATTTGACAAGAAACAGGAATTTTTTGGTTTCAATAGCTTTGGGGGTACAAGTGATTTTTTTGTTAGATAGATGAATTAGATAGTGGTGAATTCTGAGATTTTAGTGCACCCAGGACCAAGTAGTGTACATTGTACCTAACATGTCATGTTTTATTCCTAGCACCCCTCCCAACTTCCCCCTCTTCTGAGTCTCTAAAGTCCATTATATCACTCTGCATGTCTTTGTGTACTAATAGCTTGGCTCCCACTTATAAGTGAGAACAGAGGGTTTTTAGTTTGTCACTCATGTGTTACTTCACTTAGAATAATTGCCTCCAGCTCCATCCAAGTTCCTGCAAAAGACATTATGCCATTCCTTTTAATGACCAAGTTGTATTCCATGGTATATATATGGACCACATTTTTTTTTACCACTCATTTGTCAGTGGGCACTTAGGTTGGTTCCACATCTTTGCAATTGTGAATTGTGTGGCTATAAGCATACATGTCTTCTTCATATAATGACTTATTTTCCTTTGGGTAGATACCAAGTAGTAAGATTGGTAGATCAAATAGATTTACTTTTAGCTCTTTAAGGAATCTCCATATTGAAGAAATAGGATATTTAAGCATCCTCCCAACAAAATACTATTTTTTGCCTCTGATAAATAACTTTATAATAAATAACAAATAACTTTACAACATGACAGGTACCACCTTAACCAAATGCTTTTATAGTAGGTCTTGATATCTAGTGCTCCATTTTAAATATTGATTCATGTTATACCATTGATTCCATTCCATTGATTCATATTATACCAAATATAACATGAATCAGTGAAATGTTAAAAATATTTTTTCTCTTAGCTATTGATTCAAATTAAAGTAAGAAATTACTTGGCTGACCAATCAATCCTTTGGAACTAATCAGGCTGATGAATTTTTGCATTCTGACGAGTTAGGAAGTTTGACTTCTTTTTAAATTATAAAGATGGAAGCATGATTTTGGAAACTTGTCCAAATAGTGGTTGTCAGCTAAAAAAAAAAAAAAAAAAAAAAAAAAACTGTGCCACTGCACTCTAGCCTGGCGACAGAATGAGACTCCATCTCAAAAAAAAAAAAAAAAATGCAGTTCATTTCTTCGACACGCACATTGAGCCTGTCAACAAAAACCATCTCTTTGAGCAAATGTCTGAAATGTATGATTTATACTGCTTGGTTCTCCACACCCAGAAAAATCACAGCAACAAGGAGATGAGCTAAAGCTAACTCCAAGAGAGCCTTCATGATACCAGATCCAAAGCAACAACCTCTCAGGATGCAGACCACAAAATGAAGCCCACCCGCTGCCTCGTGTGACTTTATAGCTCGCAATGAATTCAGGCGCTGTATATGCACACCTTCTAATGCTTTACCATGTACTCAGCCCAATTTTCTAAAAATCCTAGCCTTTCCTGATTACCTGGGCTCTAAAGTTCAAGAGAGTAGGTAAAGTAAGCATGAAAACTGTGCTCAGCGATCTGTCTCTTTTTCAGGTCTATGGTAGTGACAGAAAAGTAAATGTGTATAATTTCATGCCATGTTTTTTTTTTTTAATTTTAGGATCTGTTATTGTGGAGGTAATTTGAGCAATACGAGGTTACCCCACCTGACTTACTGATGTGCCTCAACCTTCTACCCACCTTTTTTTATATTCAGCATTTCAGCAATCCATCTTATCCCTCCACCTGTACACTAGTTTGGATTTTTTTGCAATTTGATAATTTATCATAAATAGCTGTAGTGATTATTATAAATGTTTGGGACTTTTTACTATCATATGATAGTAATGCAGGCAGTTTTTATTTAAGGACACAACTCTGAAGCCAAAATTTCTTAATCATTTCTTAAACATCTGGATCTCTTTAAAAAGTATTCAGAAATTCATGGTAATCTATAAAAAAAAAACTATTACCATGTGCAGGTACTTATCTTATACACTAGTTTCTGTCTCCACTTTCCCCTACAATGACCCCATTTCTATTTTTCTCTTTACAGCCGTACTCCTAGAAAAAGCCACCTGTACTCATACCTTTGGGTTTCTTTCTTCTCATACTTCCTTAAAGCTGACTCAACCAATTTTCACCCATACCTCTCCACCAAAACTGTCTTTTATCAAAGTCATCAATGCCCCTCACATTGCTGGATCTAATGGACAACGCTTAGTTCTCATCCCACTTAACTTTTCAGCAACAGAAGATACAGCTGACAACTCCACCTGCACGGCTCCCAGGACCCCACTCTGCCCTGGTTTTACTTCCAATTGACCTTACTGTCTTCTCTTTGGCTCATTCAAAGGCTCTGCCTTCTCTCAGCAACCTCTTAACATTGGATATGCCAAGACCCAAACCTTGGACTGATTGTCTTCATTTTCCTTACTTCTTTGCTTTGAACTCATGCAATCTTACTGGCTTTAAGTATTAGTATGTACTGATGAATCCTAATGTTCTACATCCAGTCTGGACCTTCTCCCTCTGAACTCTAGACCTCTATATTCAACTACTCACTTGCTCTCTCCTCTTGGAGATCTAAGCAGCATCTTAAACATGGCATTTTCAAAATAAGGTTTCCGAACCAACATCTTCCACATTTTTATCCAAGACAGTAGCATCTCCCACTTTGTAGTAGCTCATAAATCCTAAACTCTCCAGATTCCTCTAACATATTTCATATCTAGCTGTCTGCAAATCTTTAGATCAATTGACCTGAACTCTTCCTATGAAATCCATGCTACATCTAAACCAGGGTTCTCATCCTCAGTGCTATTGACTCTGGGCCCGGAAATCTCTTTGTCATCAGTGGCTGTCTTAGGCACTGTAGATGTTCAGCAGCATCCCTGGGTCTATACAGATGCCAGTAGGACACTAACACCATCACTGTAATGAACAAAGCTGCTTCCAGATACATCCCCCAGAGGGTAAAATTGCCCCTAGCTGAGGACCATTGGCCTTGTAGTCATCACTACCTAATCCTTCTCCCTACTTCAGTCGCTGCTTCCTCTTGGTATCCATTCTCCATCCAGCAGCCAGGGTGATCCTGATCATAAAAATCCAAGTCAGATCATGTCACTCCTCCATTTGGAGCTTTCCAGGGGGTGCCCATCTTATTTCAAACAAAAGCCAAGTGTGTCAATCAACTTTGAGACATTAGATGAGGTACTCCACTCATTGTTTTAGATGTTTCAGTTGTTGTTTTAAGACCTCACCTGTATGACTTTCCCTCTCCAATCATGCTGGCCTTGTTCTGCAAACACTCAGTGACTTTACATCAGCTGTTCCCATATTCTTTTTTTTTTAATTTTATTATTATTATACTTTAAGTTTTAGGGTACATGTGTGAACGGCCTTCCCTCCAGGATCTGCGGGGCTCATTTTCTCACTTCCTTGAGCTCTTTCCTCAATCATCACCTTTGACGGATGCCTTCCCTGATGCCATATTAAGGACCACAACCCTCACCCAAGTATTCCCTGTCTTCTTACTCTGCCTCTGTTCCCTAAGGTGCATTTACTCTTTCTTAAAATACCATAGAGTATGTTTTTTGTGTATACTCTGCCTCCTCCTACTAAAGTGTGAACTCCATGAGGGATTCTTTGTGGAATAAATGAATGATTAGGCACTGTTACCAGGACCAACCACAACTAAGCCTTAGCTAAGGGCATGAATCAGCAACTGAGAAGAGTTAGTAACTGTACCCTTAAAAACCTATTTCTAATGAGCATTGAAGCTTAAAATTACATACAAGTCAGTCTTGCAATAACTAGAAACAGATATATAGTAGTATAAACTTTATTCATAAATAAAACTTCATAAAGTTAAGAGCAGTGGCAGTTCCTATTTTAAAAAGGGAATAGTGGAAGGCAGCCTGCTTTTTATTTAAAATCACAATTTAGGTTTTTCAGATGGATAACAGTTGAGAGCATTAAATCCCCTTCCTGCTTCTCAGATTTTCACAAAATAGCACATTAAATCCTCAGTCCTAAGCAATCATGGCAGAGATTCCAAATTGCCTCTCAATATCAAAGGGGACAGAACAGTTTCTTCTCTTGCAATAAAGGTACTCATTTGATGAACGAGGGAGTGTAGCAGTCAGATTCTTACCAAAATGGAAGAAAGACAGTAAAATATACGTCCCAATGTAAACATTACTTCCCTACTTCTAAGAGCCTGTTATTCATAAGTAAAGCAAAGTATATGTATGGAAATGAAGGAGAAGGTGTAAGTGGGAGGTAAGGGAGGAGAAGAAAGAAAGTATATGTTCTATCCTTGAGACTAATCCTTAAGTGTTTAATGATTCAAGTGTGATGTGTGTATAAGTGAATAAGGATACTTTTGCCCTCTAAGCTATGAAGTACATCCCAAATGTTCTAGGTATCCTGTTTACTCTCTATTAAACACAGCTCCATCCTTTTATTAATAGCCAGATATTAATGTGTGTGGATTTTTCATAATATACCTTCATATGGGGCTCAAGAATGAAAAACTGTACTACCTTACAGTCATTTGGTACTTCCTGGGAAAAGCTGCAACACAGACTTATGACACTTCTGAGTTCACTTTCCCAGGGATCATCAACATATCTAAGCCACTTTGTAGGCTCAGTGTTAATACTCATTTATTACAATTCAGAACTTTATTGATATTGAAATTGATAGGTATTTTCTTTTTAAGTTAATTATAGTATTTCACATAATACCCAAAATGGATAGCTCTTAGTTATATGGGGTTCCCAGTTAGTAACAGATTATCAAGACCACCATGATCAATAAAATCTCCAACAAACATAGGAAATCATGAATTTGCATTCTTGAACCGGAAACATTTTAGGCACAATGCACCTTAACACAAATGTGTGCCATTTCCTTGACAATTGTATTGACTGGTATCTAGGACATACCTGGACAAAAATCATAAGATGCCAGTTTTGAAGGGTTCTTACCAAGATTGTGTTGCAGAAGTTACTGCCCATGTCTTCATTCGCAATGTGTATCCTCACCTCTATCTCCCATTCATTAACATTGTCAGTTTCCCCATCTCTCATTTCAACTGCATTTAAAAGATGATGCTGACTAAAATAAGAGAAGATAGAAAAATATCACATAGTGGTTAAGATCTACTCAGATCCTAGCATTTACAAGGCTGAACTTGGGGCCAAATTCCTGTTATTAGTAGATGTATTGATTTCTGCTTCCCGCCACCACTCCCCAACACACCCCACCCCAGAACATCACAGGCAGTATTTGTGGTGCTAAGAAGCAAAGACTTAAAAAACAGACTTCTGGGTTCACTTCTTGATTCCACCATCTACCAGCAAATGATGTTGACCAAGTAACTTAATTTCTCTGTTTCAATTTTCTCATCCTGAATTTGGCATAATAGTATCTACCACCATAGCTGGGTGCCTATAGTCCCAGCTACGTGGAGACTGAGGAGAGAGACTTCCTTGAACCCAGAAGTTCAAGATCGGCCTGAACAAAATAAGGAGGCTCAACCACTTAAAAATCAAAAAAAAAGAAGAAGAATATCTACCTCATTGAGTTAGCAGAAGGAAAAAATACATTCATACAAGCACAGTGTAGGCATATGGTAAGTGATTAATAAATGTTAGCTGCTATTATAATTATCTGTGGGAAGAGCTCTATGTAATATGGCTCTTCTGTAATTACTCAGGGAAAAAAAATTTCAGTTCAGGATTTTAACCAGAAAAACCTAATTGAAAAATTGTCCAAAGTCCTGCCAAATATATCACACTTTTGCTAAGACCTAATCAAAATGGTTATTAATTTTCTAAATTTTTTTATTTTTAGTTTTTGTGGGTACAGAGTAGATAGACAGATAGATAGATAGATAGATAGATAGATAGATAGATAGATAGATAGATAGATATGGTAGATGAGATATTTTGATACAGGCATATAATATGAAATAAGCACTTAGACTTTCTCAAGATGTCAATTAATAAAAAAAAAAAAAAAGACCCAATCTTAACCCACAAATCCTGTTTTAAGATGTCTCTCTCCCAACACTGTCAGCCCTGCATAGTACATGCTGATCTTGACAACCTGATGAGTTCAGTGTCTTTTAGACTTCATTATGCTTTCTCTATTGCCTTCAGGAAACTTGCATATGGGTTCAAGTTTAAATAACTGAAATAACTTGATTTGGTTGGTGAAAACCTATCAGGTTTTCAGGGACCCTGACACTTATATAGAAAAATAAGTCATCATTTCATTTTTCAATAATATTCCTAGTATTCCTATGTTCTAGGGGACAGTTGTAACAACTTTTGAAGAATACAAGACCAAGTGATATGGTTTGGAATCTGTGTCCCCACTCGAATCTCATGTTCATTGTAATCCCCAATATTGGAGATGGAACCTGGTGGGAGGTGATGGGGTCACGGAGGTGGACCCTTCACGAATGGTTTAGCACGGCAGTCCCCAAACGTTTTGGCACCAGGGGCCAATTTTGTGGAAGACAATTTTTGCACTGATAGGGGGTGATGGTTTGGGGATGCAACTGTTCCACCTCAGATCACCAGGCATTAGATTCTCATAAGGAGTGCGCAACCTAGATCCCTCACATGCGAAGTTCACAATAGGGTTCGTGCTCCTATGAGAATCCAATGCCACTACTAATCTGAGAGGAGGTACAGCTCAGGTGGTAATGCTGGCTTGCTGCTCACCTCCTTCTGTGCTGCCAGGTTCCTGACAGGCAAGGGACCACTGCATGTCCATGGCTCAGGGGTTATGGACCCCTAGTTTAGCACCATCCCTTTGGTGCTGGTCTCATGATACAGTTCTCGGGAGATGTGGTTTTTTAAAAGTGTGCAGCACCTCCCCCGACCACTTCCTCCTGCTCCAGCCACGTGAGTATGCCTGCTCCAGCTTTGCCTTCTGTTGCCTTCCGTTGCCTTCCGCCATGAGTAAAAACTCTGAGGTCTCCCCAGCCATGCTTCCTGCACAGCTTGCAGAACAATGAGCCAATTAAACTTCTTTTCTTATAAATTACCCAGTCTCTGACATTTTTTTTTTTTTTTTTTTTTTTTTTTGAGACAGAGTCTCGCTCTGTCACCCAGGCTGGAGTGCAATGGCACGATTTCAGCTCACTGCAAGCTCTGCCTCCTGGGTTCACGCCATTCTGCTGCCTCAAGCTCCCAAGTAGCTGGGACTACAGGCAACCCCCCACCATGCCCAGCTAATTTTTTTTTTTTTTGGTATTTTTAGTAGAGACAGGGTTTCACCGTGTTAGCCAGGATGGTCCCGATCTTCTGACCTCATGATCCTCCCACCTCGGCCTCCCAAAGTGCTGGGATTACAGGTGTGAGCCACCGTGCCCAGCCAGCATTTCTCTTTATAGCAATGCAACAGAGGACTAAGACACCAAGGATCAAGAGATCTGTGTTCCCATTAGGGTTTGGTGTCTCCCCAACTCCCATCACTGGTTGTACCATTTAACCTTTCAGGTTTGGCATTTTTGTCTGGACAGTAAATGAAGCCAGGGGCTAGGACAGGGGTTTGGCATTCCATACTCACTTGTGGACGACACACGACAGAGGCATTTCAGATCGGACAGTAGAGTCTCTTGAGATATACCTGATTTTAGTTTTAAGCAGAAGAACTTCCTGGAGAGGCTACAAGACAAAGAGAGGTTTTAAACCCATGTTTGTCTCAAGTATCTCAGGAAACTTACAGGCATTTAAATAGGAATTTATAGATACATCAAGCTTTCTAAAAATGGTCACACTCTCACTCAACTATAAATAGCATCTGTTCACAGGAAACAGGACCATTTTCCAAACTGACAGATGGGTTAAAATCTGGCACAGTGCTTGCACATAAAAGGCAAGCAATACTTGTTAGTTAAAAGAGAAAGGAGCTTTGTGATTCACATTCAAGAAAGCAATTGACACCTCTTTTTGAGACACACAGTTGTAGTGATACATTGCTTATTCAAAGCGAGCATGGGCTTTGAGATCATATGAATCACATTTGGAATCTTGGAGCTGCCTCTATTCATCATGAATCCTTGGAAACCGTGTTTAAACAATTAAGTCTGTTTTCTTATTTCTAAAAAAAGCAATAATTATGGTGGTAAAGAATAATAGTGATTAAGTTATCAGCATATAGTAAATACCTAACAGGAAGTATAGCTGTTTTCAGGGGGGTGGGGTGGAATGGAGTTAAGACAATTAATAGTAAAATATTTTTCTAAGAACATTTAGCATATGGTTCTCAATATAAGGCCCAATCTTTGACAGCATAGGAGGATATGATGATTCAGAGATACCCATATTCATTACATAATTTTAAATGTTCCCGTCTCAGATATATCCTGCTCTCATTGGATAATTTGAAAATATAAGCATAGATAAAATGAAATTAACATACTACCACCACCCAGATTATTCAGTTAACATTTGAATATTCCCTGCCCCCCCCCCGCAGTTTATATCAAGGTTGATAGTGCCCCCCTAATACCTGCTGTGGTGTATTAGACCTGTAATGTGCTTCCCAGATCCCCTAAGGGCTTGTTGACCCAGCTGCTAGGAATGCTGTTACCAGATAGCCTTCAGCCTTCAGCTCTCACCCCCTCCAGGAATTATGTAGCTGCTGAGGGCTGTCTTACCCCTGGCCACACCCCTCTCCCAGGGTGGCCCACTTCTGATCACCTACCCAGCAGGAATGTGAAGCCCTGTGCAGGGTCAGCCAAAGCTGTCTCTAAGCCTGCATCACAGCTCAGCTTTGCCCTTTGCCCAATCTTCTTTCTCCCAAAAACACTTCTTAATAAATATTCCGCACACTCAACTCTACCTCAAATTTTGCTTTTGCTTTCTGTGTTACCCAATCTGTGGAATTTATCTAAACCTGATCAAGTTCTATTACTTCTTTTAGCGTTTTATTTGGGATAATGAAAAAAATAAGTAATATCATAGCAAGATTTTACTAACTTTAAAAACTTTTTAAATTAAGTCAAAATTCCAGTTATACTTTTATCAGTGATATGCACAATGACTTAGTTAACCCAAAATATCTGGTGAGTAGGGGCTAGGGCTGGGAGATCACTGAATATTTACTTTGAAAAGGCTTCTGATGCTTGATTAGTGTTACTCCCTCATTCTGGTCGCAATTGACCAAACTTCATGAATTATAATAAATAATTAGTTAGAGAAACTGTTGAAAAACTTTCTGATGCATGGAAAATACTTTCTTCCTTCAAAACCTTCAACTCTCCCGCCTGCTCCATCACTAAATGAATAATTAGTGTTTGCAATTACCACCTAACAAGAGAAAAGCATTTAGCATCTCCTTTCTTAACTGCTTCTGTCCTAAATGTGATCATTAAAGAGTCTAGCCATATTACAAATAGACACTTAATGACTTCTAGTTTGTAGGTATGTTGAAGGAACCATAAGACACTTGGGTTTTTTTGTTGGTTTTTTTTTTATACTTTAAGTTTTAGGGTACGTGTGCACAACGTGCAGGTTTGTTACATATGTATACATGTGCCATGTTGGTGTGCTGCACCCATTAACTCGTCATTTAACATTAGTTATATCTCCTAATGCTATCCCTCTCCCCTCCCCCCACCCCACAACAGGCCCCATGAAGCTAGAAACCATCATTCTTAGCAAACTATCGCAAGGACAAAAAACCAAACACCACATGTTCTCACTCATAGGTGGGAATTGAGCAATGAGAACACATGGACACAGGAAGGGGAACATCACACACCTGGACACTTGGGTTTTAAGTAAGATAGCCATTTCTTACTTGAGTTACAATACCACAGTCATGAGGATGGTAGAAAAACTCATAGTAGACATTTGGCAAAACATGGGTTACATGGCAGCCATCTCCTAGAAACACTTCATCGGGGTTCACATACAAATTGTAAAATATCGTGGGTTTAATCCTGGCAAAGAACCAAAACTGGGTGCAGTGTACTTGAATAGCTGAAAAGCAGGAAAAAGAAATTTTGTTAGTATGCAATTACATAGATCAGCTCAAAAAAATTTAGCATACCCTGTTAATACAAATGAAGAGATCATCCCTTACTAAAACAAAATGTCTTAAGAGGTGAACAAGTTTGCAAAACATGGTCTCTGAATTATTACTTCATCCCCTAAAAATATCCACACATATACTCATTCTTCAAATACATTCTTTAGTGAATCTATATATAGGGGGGAAAAAATCAATACAAAATAAGATTTCATCTAACCCTCCAAAGTCACTTATTGTAGAGCTAGAATCACAAGACTATATCTATATTATAATGTTTATACTAAGTATAGAGCATTTTCTGTCTCCCTTGTTCAACTGAAGCTCTTTGACGCAAGCCCTTCCATTTCTATGGAAGCAAGCAGTTTCCATTTTTATACCCACAGTTTCATGATATATAAAGACTTGTCCACAAAACTCAAGCTAGCAAGCAGGCTTTTATAGAAATTGAGTAAAAACAGTGCTATCCTTTCCCTTCTATCTTGAAATATCTGGACATTAAGTTTTTTTACTCTGGAAATGGAAATAATTTTCTGATACAATCTGCTGCTTGAATTAGGTCCCAGGGAAAGAGAATTAGATCAAACTAGAAATTATGAGACTGGGTAGGCATGAGTTTTTTTGTTTTTGATTTTTTAAGAGTAAGTTTGGCTATTCTTCTAGACTTCACTAAAGGAAAATTTTATCAGTTGCTCTTAAGATACTAGAAGGAGCCTGAGTTCTCAGGAGATACTGAAAACTCAGCGGAGAAACCAAAGGAATATAAATCTGCAATCCTTTCACAGAAGGGGCTATACATATTGCAAATAACTATATGAAAAGATGTTTAATATCATCAGCCATTATGGAAATCCAAATTCAAATCACGATATTACTACACACCTATCACAATGGCTAAGATGAATAATAGTGAAGACACCAAACGCTGGTGAGGATGCCGAGAAACTGGGTCACTCATACATTGCTGGGACAATGTGAAATGTATCAACCACACTAGAAAACAGTTTGTCAATTTCTTTAAAAACTAAACATACAACAACCATATGACTCAACAATTAAACTCTTCGGCATTTATCCCAGGGAAATAAAAATGTATGTTCACATAAAATGTACATAAATGGGCTGGGCGAGGTGGCTCACTCCTGTAATCCCAGCACTTTAGGAGGGCGAGCCGGGTGGATCACGAGGTCAGGAGTTCAAGACCAGTCTGATCAACATGGTAAAACCCCATCTCTACAAAAAATACAAAAATTAGCCAGGCATGGTGGCACGTGCCTGTAATCCCAGCTACTCAGGAGGCTGAGGCAGGAGAATCATGTGAACCTGGGAGGCAGAGGTTGCAGTGAGCCGAGATGGTGCCACTGCACTCCAGCCTGGGCGACAAAGCTAGACTCTGTCTCAAAAAAAAAAAAAGTACATAAATGCTAACAATAGCTTCATTTATAATAGTCAAAAACTGAAGACAGCCCAGATGTCTTTTGGTGGGTGAATGGTTAAACAAACCATGGTACAATCATGCCATGGAATTCCACTCAGCAATAAAAAGAATCAAGTGTTGATACACGCAACATCTTGGATGAATCTTCAAGGAATTACACTGAGTGAAAAAAAACGCCAATTCCAAAAGGTTACAAACTCTGAGCCCATTTATATAACACCCTTGAAATGACAAAATTGTAGAAATGGAGAACAGATCTGTGCTTGACAAAAATTAAGGAAAACGGAGACAGAAGGTTTGGCATTAGTGGTTCAGGAGGAAAGTAGAAGTGGCTCTAAAAGTGGCATCCTGATTACAATAGAAATGTCTGTCCTTTGGCTACATCAATATTAATATCCCAATGTAATACTGTATTATATTTCTGCAAGATGTTACCATTGTGTGAAGCTGAATAAATAGTATAATTGATCTCTGTATTATTTCTTACACTGCATGTGAATCTACAATTACCTAAAAATAAGACGTTCCTTAAATGTAAAACCAGTTATTCATATCCACATTAGCAAAAAGTAAGACATCTGTGAGCACCAATTAGAATTAAAGAACAATTGAGCAAGAGAGTTACTTTTCAGATCTGTACCTGTGGCCTCACAGTCCCATTCCTAGATATGCACACACAAAAAGAAACCACTCAAATACAAACATTATTTGTAACGGCCCCACACTAGAAAAATTCTATCAATGTGAGAACAGAAACAATTTGCAATGCATTTATTCACTGGACTGCTAAATAGTAATTAAAATATACCAAAGCTACAAATGTAAATCTCCAAGTGATGGACAACAAAAAAGCTGTAGAATTAAATAGAAATAGAAGATAAATGCCTGCGAAACATATTTACAGATCCACAAATTTGACGTAAAATTGTAAAACACACAGGAAAATGAATAATTACCAAACTCACATATGGGCAAAGAGGGAAGAGAATAGGATCAGGAATGACCACAGGGACTTCAACTCTACCTGAACTTTTACTTCTATTAGAAAATAAAATGTAAGCAAATGTAGCAAATTATGGATTTAATAAAGCTGAAGAGCAGGTCAGTGAATATTGATATTATTCCTTATAGTTACCTGCTTTTTTAAACTTAGTTATCCATTTTAAATAGTTCCTAATAAAAGAAAGCATAATGAATACACTAAGATTCTAACATGTACCCATGTCAGGTCTAGGTTGTCTTGTTGAACGGGTAGCTTGACAAGTATACACAACCTTTCACTGCAATTCCGAAATCTTAACCTTAGAAATTGACAGCCCAGGCAGGAAGCAGTGGCTCACGCCTTTAATCCTAAAGCTTTGGGAAGCCAAGGTGGGAGGATTCCTTGAGGTCAAGAGTTGGAGACTAGCCTGGGCAACATAGCAAGTCTCTACAAAAAATTTTTTTTTAATTAGCAGTTCACAGCTGCAGTGAGCTACGATGGCACCACTGCACTCCAGCCTGAGTGACAAAGAAAGAAAGAAAACAAAAGAAAGAGAAAGAAGAGAAAGAGAAGAGAAAGAGAAAAAGAAAAGAAAGAGAAAGATGAGAAAGAGAAGGGGAAAGAAGAGAAAAAGAAAAAAGAGAAAAAGAAGAGAAAGAGAAAGAGGAAGGGAAGAGCAAGGGACGAGGAAGAGGGAACAGGAAGAGAAGAGGAAGAGAAAGAAGAGGAAGAGAAAGGGAAGAGTAATAGAAAGGGAAGAGGAAGAGAAAGGGAAGAAAAAAAAGAAAAAGAGAGAAGGAGAGAAAGAAAAGAAAACAGAAAAAAGCATTCAGCACAGTGGCTCATACCTGTTATACCAGCACTTTGGGAGACCGAGGTGGGCAGATCACTTGAGGCCAGGAGTTTGAGACCAGCCTGGCCAATATGGTAAAACCCCGTCTCTACTAAAAATACAAAAATTAGCTGGATGTGGTGGTGCACATCTGCAGTGCCAGCTACTTGGGAGGCTGAGGCACAAGAATCACATGAACCCGGGAGGCAGAGGCTGTAGTGAGCCCAGATCATACCACTGCACTCCAGCCTCGGTGACAGCGAGACTCTTGTCCCAAAAAAAAAAGAAAGGAAGAAAAGAAGGAAAGGAGGAAGGAAGGGAAAGAAAAGAAAGAGGGAGGGAGGAGGGAACGAGGGAGAAAGAGAAAGAAAGGAAGAAAGAAGGGAGGAGAGAAAGAAAGGAAAAGAGAAAGAGAAGCAGAAATAGAGGAAGAGAAACTGACAGCCCAAGTTTATACTCAGGGCTACCAATCATTCTGGTTTGCTCCGAACAGGAGGTTTTTGGGGCCGACGCAGGAAAAGTACTGGGAAAACCTGGACCACTGCTCACCTCACTTAGGGGGCACTGACTGCTCCCTCTGAAATGAAAAGGATCTATGAAGTATAAGGTAAAGAAAGGCTAAGCCTTATAAGGCTTTCTTCCTGTATGTGACACACCACAGAGTCCCAAGTTCCTACCACCACCCACTCCTCTGTTTTCCAGGCCACTCCACACTCTTTATATTAAACCCACTTCAAGTACTTGATCCCCAAGAATTGATATGGTCAGAATAAGATCAAAAGGAAAGGGGAGTTGGAGAAAGACAGTCTCAGGTTAGGGCACATTCCCTAGTCTCAGTGCCGGTATGCAAGAGAAAAACATGGTATCTCAAGATTGCACATCGAAAAGAGGCACCACCCCTCCATGTGTCCTTGGCTATTATTAAGATTCAACCAGACCACAACTGTAAAGAATCCAAAGCCACATCTTTCAGCTCTCTTTAAGAAACTTCTATTCCCCAAGTGATAAGTTATACCTGACCAGTCCCCAGCGCAGGTCCATATCAAGGAATGCAGATAAAAGAGCCCTTTGAACCCCAGAATGGTCTTCATTTGCCCAGATTGAAAACCAAACCTCACTCAGGAAACAGGAAGTTGGGGAGAATAGCCTTATATGCCAAAATGCCTGAAGCCACACATAGGTGTGGGTAATTAATTACAACTTTGGACAGCACACACGTGCCATAAATATAATTTTGTTTCATTTTCTAAGATGTTACACTTTTTACTCAAATGTCAAAAAACAAGAGCAAAGATAAAGCAAAATGTGCAATAGAAGTACAACAGAAGGCTTCACTTGTTTTAGAGTCCAAAGCATCAGATATAGTTATTTTTATGCACTAAGGTTTACTTTATTAAAACTTCCTAATATCCTATAACATCTGTCTCCACATCTGAACACGAAAGAAATAACTGGATGATAATTTACTTGTTCTGTGCATCTCAGAAGGCCAAGCCCTGAGAACATGGGAATTGAAAGATTTCATCTACTTTCACCTGTTTTCACCAACTAAACAGTGGTACTCAAACTTAATAGATATCAGAATCACCGGGAGAGCTTATTGAAGCACAGCTGAGTGTCATTTAGTTTTCTGATTCACTAAGACTGGGCTGGGACCTGAGAATTGATGTTTCTCACAAGTTCCCAGGCGATGCTCATACTGACCACCCAGGGACCACACTTTGAGAATCCCTGGTCTACAGGGTTTTGCCTTCAGAGTGCATGCTGTGTTGATGCCCATTAGCAGCGATGTTTGCTTCTCAAACTTTAAGGAGCATATACATCACTTGAGGCTCTCTTTACAATGCAGATTCTAATTCGGAATGTCTGGGGTGAAGGCTAAGATTCTGCATTTTAAGATTGCAGGGATGTTGCTCTGGAGACTACGTTGTGAGTAGCAATGCCTGTAAATGGTTACTCACATTTAGATTCCTTTCTTCAAAACAGAAGATGCCAACTTAAAAATGAGAAATTCAAAATCTCATTACCAAAACAAGCCTAAATGAATGTTTGGTTCAAATATATTCTGATTTTTTTCGCTAATAACCAGTTATTAGAGTTTAGCAACTGTGTCCTACGTTAATAGAACGTGGAAAGTAGGAGCTTACCAAAAACAAATAGAAAAGACTATATAAATGCATTTAACTATCCTTGATATTATCTGAATTTTATCATTAAATTTAGTCTGTTCTAAAAGTTCTAAAATGCCATTAAATGATGAGCTCTTCAAAGGTTGAGATCATTCCTCTGTATTTTTGTGTGTCCTAACTTTCACAAAATGGGTGCCCAATAAAAGATGGCAGGAGAAAGAAAAAAAATAGAATTAGTTAGCATTTGTTCCTTTTAAAAATTTTTGTTTGTTTTTGTTTTGTTTTTGTTTTTTTGAGATGGAGTTTAGCTCTTGTCACCCAGGCTAGAATGCAATGGCACGATCTCCGCTCCCCGCACTCTCTGCCTCCTGGGTTCTAGCGATTCTCCTGCTTAGACTCCCAAGCAGCTAGGATTACAGGCGCCCGCCACTATGGCCAGCTAATTTCTGTGTTTTTAGTAGAGATGTGGTTTCGCCAAGTTGGCCAGGCTGGTCTCGAACTCCTGACCTCAAGTGGTCTGCCTGCCTCGCCCTCCCAAAATGCTGGGATTACTGGTGTGAGCCACTGAGCATGGCCTCTTTTTAAGTTTTTGAAATGTTTACATTTCACTTGTGTTAAAGACACAAATATATTTTAATTTTAATAATTATGCTTTTTTAATTTAATGTGTATTGAGATTAAAGGTATATTAAAACATTTCAGATACATTGCTATCTAGATGGACAGTGCTAAGGTTCAGTCCAAATGAATGTCAAAACCTTGTCCACAGGTACCTAAGGATGCACAAGGCAATGTCTCTGACTTTCAGCCACCCAGTCTTAGCCTCGTGTATCTGACAATCTGCGAAACTACTATTGTTATCAAATCGTCAATAAACTAGTAAAGAATAGGTGGCTTGAATCTTAAAAATTACCTGGTTAAATCACTGGAAGAGCAATACTTTCAAGGTGAGGATGGAAGCATTGAAGAGGTGACAGGGTCTCTTCATAGAGACAGGGTTTTGCCATGTTGGCCAGAATGGTCTCAAACTCCTGACCTCAGGTGATCTGCCTGCCTCAGCCTCCCAAAGTGCTAAGATTATAGGCTTGAGCCACCAAGCCCAGACTGCCATGTGTATATCCTTTTAAGGAAGTATCTATTCAAATATTTTATTCATTTTTATTGAGTTATTTCTCATCTTATTGAGTTGTACCTCATGACTTTTGTTTTGTATGGAAATGTCTTTTCAGAAGAGTCTTGGCTAGCTATCTTGAGTAAAGACTCTCATTCAGAATCTGATTATTTCCTCACAATTAGACTCGAACCTTTTTGGCAAGAATAAATGAAGTTAAAAATGTTATAATCTTAAGAACATTTCTATAGCTTTTCCGTTGTTTTAGAGCTCTTTATATATTAGGGAGATTATCCTTTTATCCGCGATATAAGATGCAAATATTTTCCTCCTAGGCAGTCATTTGTCTTTTGATTTTGCTTGTGGTATTTTTGCCTCAAAGTTTGTTTAATTTTTGCTTCAGATTCTATTTGGTCACATTTTACTTATTCCTTCTGGAATCTGAGTCATAATTACAACAGACTCGCTTACACCTATTTAATATAATAATTAATAGAAGCAGGCTAAATACACATTGAGCATTTTACTTCGACTGGAGTATGACCAGTACAGGGCTGGTAATTCACTATTAACTGTGTCATTTGTTTGTCTCTATCCAGTGGGATCCCCAGACACCTAACTAATTCAAATTAACTCTCAGCTAAATGGCTAGCAACACTAAAATATGGCAGTTATGTCCCCATTTACACATGTATTCAGACAGAAAAAAATAAGAAAGAATCCTCTCACTAGCTAAGGTGTCCAATGGTCTGGCCTACAGAAGTGTCTCCCTGACTAAGAGAAACAGGATACTTCAGTCTCACTCTCAATAAATCTCTGGACCGGGGCTCAACCAGCCTTCCCTTTCAGAGGCTGAAGATACTGAGTAATTCTCCTATACGCATCTGCATTCTCTTTTCTTGCCTTGGGTTTAGAGAATTACACTTCTATCTTGCCAAATTTTCTTTTTTTTACAAAAAGAATTATTTCCCTTAGAAAATTTTTAGGATATGTGACTAGTTATAGCAGAGGGTCCCAAACATTCACCTAGTTCTCTTAATGATACAGTAACTTTTGTTGTTTGTTTGCTTTTTATGGCATCCTTTCATGAAAAGAAATACATAACAGCTTCATTTATTATGTTGTTACATCAAAATAACTTCAGTATTTTTGTGCTGACAACTTAGTAGCCATTTGAAAACACATACATTGGAAGAAAATATTTTTATTTTATTCTTTAACCACAATTATGAATAATATGTGTATAACTGTTTGACGCTGCACAGCATCTCAGCTCTTGAAATCAGATTGGGCATCACCATCTTCATTCCTTATTCCACATGGATTTTTCCCACAGTAACTGCTTTGGCTATTCATCACAGCAACCACTAGATCCCAAGTTGCACAAAGTTGTGGACTAATAGAAAAGAATGTAGTGCCACCAAAGTGGAACTGTGGACTACCTTGAGCTGGTAATTTGCATCATGTCTGACAGTTGTCAAGTATCACTCACTGTCTCCCCGAAATTTTTAAAATATCCCCTGGTATCCCTGTGTGTTCACTGCAGTGCCTCTGGGGGATCTTCAGCACAGAGAATACAAACTGTGCTGATAAGATTAGTGTTTTTATAGAGAAATGTGACCTATTAATGACCTCTTTAATGGAACAGTAAATTCTCACAAACAGGTATTTTAGAATATTAATGAAAATAACTAAATGTGGTACACTTTGTTTTCTATTCTCTTCTCACAATTTATCAATTCGATTATTCAAAGATATCTATTAAGCAAATGATATGTCAGGGGCATGTCTCAAATAAATGAAAATTTATTTTCACACAAAAGCCTGTACACCAATATTCCTAGCAGTTGTATTCATAGTCGCAAAATACTGGAAACAATCTAGATGCCCTTTTTTTAAATGAATGGCTAAACGAACCATAGTAATCTATACCATGGGATACTATTTAGCAAGAAAAAGAACAAATTATTGCTTCATTGGAACATTCTGCATGAATCTCCATGGAATTATGCTGAGTGAAAACAGCCAATCCCAAAAGGTAATATGCTATACTATTCCATTTATATAACATCCTTGAAATGAAAAAGTGGAAACAGAGAGTAAATTAGTGGTTACCAGGGTTTACGAGGGGATGGGGACAGGAGGGAAGTAGATGTAGCTCTTAAAAGGTCATATTATGGATCACTGTGGTGATGGAAATGTTCTGTGTCTTGACTGTATCAATGTCAATATCTTGGTTGTGATATTGTGTTTTAGTTTTGCAAGATGTTACCATTGGGGAAAATTGGGTGAAAAGTACATAGGATCTCTCTGTGTTGTTTCTTACAACTGTGTATGAATTTACAGTTACCTCTAAATGATTTTTAATGTAACAAAAAAGACCTAAAAACCAACCAATGACTATTTTAGTAAATTAACTGGAGAAGACCATTTTCAATGACATAAAAATCAAACCCATAAGGAAAAAACAACTCAGGGATGGGTCTGCCTTTATGAAAGGGATCTGTGCTACAAAAAAACTTGCTGAGCAAAAACAATAGGCAAAAAAATATTAAATTTAAATAAATAGTTATCATTTGCATCCTTCTGAGGAAAAATGTTTAAGAGGTTTGTTAACATTCAGTCATGACAGTTTTCTTAGAAAAGAAATAATGTCATTTACTTCCTATGATGAAGTAAATTGATAAATTTTCAGGGACAATTTAGCAATAAATACTGTTTTTAGTATGTTTATTCTTTATCACAATTCCTAATGTATTATTTTGTCCCATAGAAATACTGATATGAGATTGCAACAGTTTATCTTAAAAGATATCAATTACTGTATTCTTTGCAATATTAGCAAAATAGAATCAACTCAACAATCCATAATTTGGTATGAGTTAAATCAATTGTGGTATATGGATACAATGCACTGATATTCAGCAATTAAAAATAACAAAATAAATCTATATACCTACAGTATATATATAACATATATAACATATATGCCTATCACACATACCTATGGTATACATATATATACAGTACACATACACAGATATATACAAAGTTTTCTAAAGTATGTATACATATTTCTTAGCAAGAGCTATGTTGTTAATTTTATATATATTATGTATTACATATAATGTATTATATATAATATAGTGAATATTAATATATTAAATGTTAACATACAAGATATAATTAATATATAAATTAGTCTATATAACTTGTATATAAATTTTATATTAATTTTATATATATGCATACATACACTATGAAAACCTTTAGAAAAATTGAGCACAATGGCTATCACCAAGGAATGTATTAGATGAGACTTTAATTTTTTATGTTTAACATTTTTGTCTTGTTTGCATTTTATATTATTTCATGAATTTTCTTAAAGCCACCTGTCTTCAATAGTACTTCCCCTGCCCCCAACTTCTGACTGAAATATACTTAAAACTTAGGTACTGGATTTGCTTCACCTGATATAGCTTTTAAGTCATTTTCTAAAATTAAGGACATTTTCAGATCTACTTATCTGATGCTTTTTAACTATTTCTGAAATGAAAAAAGATAAACAACATAGTGTATAGGGTTATAGCTGGAAGCAGCATGCTTAAAATATAGTTTTATTGTAATTATTCATAGGCATCTTCCTTTCCTTTCTACAACAGCATCCTTTTAATTTACCTTTTAAATAACATTTTAAATTGTCCAAATAAGTCATTAAAAAACTCTCTTAATAGACTGTCTGGGAAATTTTGCCATATCCATTCTTTGACTATATTGTGGTACAATTGATGGTGGCAGCCACTCCAGTTCGCCTGCCATCATCCCGGCTGCAGCAAGGAGGCACAACTAGGGCTGTGTGCTCCACACAGCAGGCAGGAGCCCTGCCCTCCTGGGTGGGACTGCAACTGCCCAAACTGTGGCTGCAGCCTCAGGCATGCCTGCACTCTTGGGGCCTGGGAAAGGTCCCCCACTCTGCTCTCACAGGCTAGAAAGTGCCTGCCCCTGCCATCTGGCTTCTCCCTGCTGTCGGCACCTGCTCCAATCTCAGAGCAAAGTCAGGCCAAGCCCAGGCACCATGAACAGCAGGAGGCAGACAGAGTTCCAAGTGGAAGGGGGTGGGTTTCCAGTAAGGTCCCTCCTTCAGGCCAGGGAGGGCCTGAAGTTTGGGGACCAGGCTGCCAGTCCCACAGACCCAACAGGGAGCTGGTGCCTTTTCCAGTCCCACCCACGGCCACCCATGGGCCAACTGGCATGCACTTCCTCCCCTCTGAGGCCCATAAAAGCCCTGGGTTCAGCCAGAGTTGAACAGACACAGGATGACCAGCTGCAGAGAGGAGCTACCCTCTCTGCTGAGAGCTTCAGAGACCTACAGAGACAACCAAACAACCTGCCTGTGAAGAGGAGCTACCCTCTCCAGGACCTCCTCTCTGCTGAGAGCAGTAGCCATCCAGAGGACCAGCTGCAGAGAGAAGCTACCCTCCCTGCTGAAAGTGGAATGCTCCACAAGTGACCTGCCTGCCTACAGAGGGGAGCTACCTACTGTTGGTCTCCACTGAGCTGTTCTAACACTAAATAAAGTTCCTTGTGGTCTTCCTCACCCTTCACTTGTCTGTGCACCTCATTCTTCCTCAACATAGGACAAGAACCCAGGCAAAGGCACCACCAGCCACAGAAATTTCTGGAAATAAAATTGACACCCCAAAGATCCCAAAACACAGTGACAGCATATTCTTGAGCCTGTACAAATCTCAGTGTAGAAAAAGGAACACTACTGGAGGAATTAATAAATATTTTCGTAGGAATCAACTTAAAGGAAACTTAAGCTTTTCATAGATTAGGAATTTTGAGAATCTTCAGATTAAACAGACTCTTCAGGAGATACACATTGTCCACCTAGAAGCATCCGTCAGTGCCTCGCACACCACAGTGTCTCTGGGATATGTAAATCCTTTTTAGAAAAGAAAAAGAAATCTAAGGGTTAGACTCGAGGAGGACATTCAGAAATCACTTAAGTGAGTGGGACTCTTCAAGGATGATTTTTGCAAATATTAGGTAAATTCTGCAGCTACTGGTGCAGCTCCTACTAGCATTCTAAGTAAGTTTTTTTTTTTTTTTTTTTGAGATGGAGTCTCACTCTGTCACCCAGGCTAGAGTGCAGTGGTGCGATCTCTGCTCACTGCCAGCTCCGCCTTCTGGGTTCAAGCCATTCTCCTACCTCAGCCTCCCGAGTAGCTGAGACTACAGGCACCTACCACCACGCTTGGCTAATTTTTTGTATTTTTAGTAGAGATGGGGTTTCACCATGTTAGACAGGATGGTCTCGATCTCCTGACCTCATGATCCGCCCGCCTCAGCCTCCCAAAATGCTGAGATTACACGCGTGAGCCACCATGCCAGGACTCTAAGTAAGCTCTTAATCTTACAGGGGGGGTGTTTATGTAAGATTAATATATGTTATTATTATAGAGATAGATACAATATAATTCAGAGACTGTGAAAAATGGCTCTAGCAGTGGGTAGTGAAGTACAAGTACATCATCAGGTCAAAGTTTTGTTGCATCTCTAAATGAGCTTATATAGTATTAAAAATTGGCCAGCAAATGACATCTATTTAAGCATTTCAAAAGTGCTTAAATAACAGTTCTATGGGCACTACATAACACTTTGTTGTGTCCCCTTATTATAACACTATGGTTTCCTATACCAAAGTGATCAAGAAAAGGCTAGGGGGTGGAGTTGACAATATGTGAAAGATTTTCTCTCTTGTCTCTGAAAATTAGATTAATTGAATACATCTGAGTGTGGCACTGGCTCTAAAAACACTTCAGGCTTCCTAGCACCTTCCAACTGCTGTTGCCTCAGGAGGTCTTAGTCCATGATCCAGCATAATGAAGACCCTGGAGGTATTAGGAGGACTGCTATTTCTACTTGTTTCCTTGACTTGGATGTGTTCTCGGCAGGGTATAAGAGTGGACCTTGACTTATGGTGCCTTGAAGGGGTAGTTTCTCAGTGACCATGAGTCATGGGGCTTGTAGTTGCTAGAACCTGATGGCTCCATCCTAAAGGTTTGGAACTCAATAATTCTTCTTAGTCCCATGCTTTTTTTCCCCTTGGGTCCAGCTAATACCATTGAGTGAAAGAGAGTGTTCCACTCAAGTTTCTCTTATTTTCTCTGAGGTTTCTCAGAATTAGTATTTCCTCTTCTCCTCCTACTTTGTCCTACTTGTCAGCTACTAGAATTTCCTACCAAGTCATCCTTGGACTCTCTGCTCTTCCACATGACACTCTCTTACCATTGCTGGTATCTCAACCACACATTCTTAACTGGCCTCCTTTATCCAATTCCCTCTCTTTCCCTCCAAAACATCATTGCATATTTTTTTAAGATACAACTCTGACCAAATCGTATCTTGACACCAATTTCCATCACTGCTTAAGGATTATGCATCAGATGAGCTACTTAGTCATTTTCAGGAAGTTGGGACTAATTATTCCATAGGCTGTCTTCCACTTGAGAAAATAATTTACTTTTAAATGAAATGGCCAGGTGCTGAGACCAGCTCAGTCAGGGAGACCCTAACCCAGTGGTTCTAGAGGAATTAAAGACACACACACAGAAATATAGAGGTGTGAAGTGGGAAATCAGGGGTCTCACAGCCTTTAGAGCTGAGAGCCCTGAACAGAGATTTACACACATATTTATTAACAGCAAACCAGCCATTAGCATTGTTCCTATAGATATTAAATTAACTAAAAGCTCCCTTACAGGAAATGAAGCGATGGGCCGAATTAATTGCAGCAGGAACATGCCCTTAAGACACAGATCACTCATGCTTTTGTTTGTGGCTTAAAAATGCCTTTAAGCGGTTTTCTGCCCTGGGCGGGCCAGGTGTTCCTTGCCCTCATTTCCATAAACCCACAACCTTCCAGCTTGGGTGTTAGGGCCATTATGGACATGTTACAGTGCTGCAGAGATTTTATGTATGGCCAGCTTTGGGGCCAGTTTATGGCCAGATTTTGAGAGGCTTCCTCCCAATATGTCTCCCTTCTTTGATTTGCAAAGAGATAAAAGCAAGGGCAGCTTTGTCACGGTGAGCTACTTCTCGCAGGAGTCGGGATCTGAATCTGCAGACTACATAAAGACAAACAACATAGATTAAAAGCACCATTATCATTGTAATCACAGAGCTTTTAAGTGTTTTTATCCATTTTAATGGGTTAACTAGCTGCTAATTTGTCTGCAGCTCCTTTAAGCACTCCAGTTCCTGGCATTAAGGTCAGGTGTGCCTGGGATGCTTTAAATATTTGTTTTTTTTTAAATTTTGTTATACTCAAAAACAAGTTTGTAGAGTGTCCTTCTAGATGCTTTTTTATTCTTTCCCAAATTTTGATCTTATTAAGAGCATTTAATAGTTTCCACAAATCCTTATGTTTTGCTCCTAGAGCAGGCCATATCATTTGAGGTTGAGATGCCACTATATCACCATGGTTCCAGATAATAGGAACTTTTGCTGTACTTTTTATTATAGCTATCATCTGACCATTTTGTTCAGATCATCTGAACATAGTGTGACCATGGCATGCAGACTGAGAGGTGCAATTCAAGCTAAACATCCCCTTAGGGGACCAATTAATAATGATTCCATAGGAATCATTGTGCAGCACCTCTGCCTGTTCTGCAAAGCAATCTTCCTAAACGAGTACGTTCATTTTTTTTTAACTGGGTCCAATCCTGTTTACAAATAGGTTTTTGAGGGCAGTATGCCTCAATTATAGGAGCAGATTTATTATGGTAAATACTGAGATCAGAAAGCATGTGTAACTGTGTCATAGAGTGACTGCATCCAGGCATTATTGCCAGCCCTTTATGAAGGAATATTTAATGGCAGTGGTGATAACCACTATCATAGCTACCATTAAATTATTCATCGTGACTGGTTGTCCTGCTTTCCTCAGGTTTTCTTCTGTCATCTGTACAGCTTCTTGATCTGTGCCCAGGTGGGTGGCTGTGTTTGACGGCGTTGCTCATGGCAGCTGGGGTCCTCCTCAGCATCAGTCTCAACATGGCTGCAACCGGGAGGTCCTCGGGAACCTCCTGGAATCTCTTCTTTGGCATCTGGCTCATGATAAGGTTTTAGGTGTCCTGATGGTATCAAAATCGGCTGTTGATTTTGGCCTGGAGAAATACAAGCATAACCTTTACTCCAAGTTATTATTTTACCTATTTCCCAACTTTTTGTTATTGGATCTTTTCGCCAAATAATGCTGATTCAATTGTGTATGGGCTGTCCTGTAATCCCTATTTTTCCTCCTTTTTTGTTTTTGTCATTAGTTGTTTATCTGTATGAAATCGTTACTGAGCATTTTCAATTAACTGTGTGGAATGAACCACATATGAAGAATCAGAAATCACATTAATAGGCATATCAAAAGCAGTCAATATCTCAATTACAGCTACAAGCTCCACTTTTTGAGCTGAAGTATAGGACGTCTGAAAAACTTTACTTTTTGAGCCAGAATAAGAAGCTTTACCATTACTAGACCTATCTGTAAAAACATTCTCAGCACCTTCAATTCGGTTAAATTTAGTTATTTTAGGGAGAATCCAATTAGTTAATTTCAAAAACAGAAACAGCTTCGTTTTAGGAAAATGGTTATCGAGAATACCCACAAAGTCAGCTACTTTTTGCCAAGTAAGACTATTTATAAAAATTTGCTGTATTTGTGCTTTCATGAGAGGGACAATAATTTTTCTAAGATCATATCCATGTAATTTAACAATCCGAGTTCTCCCAATCCCTATCATAGTAGTGATTTGATCTAAATAAGGAGTTAGAGTATATGAATTAGTATGTGGAAGAAAAAGCCACTCAGTATACTAAGTCCTGTTCTTGGACAGTAACACCAGTAGGTGAACGCTGAGTTGAAAAGATTAGCAAATCTAGAGTCTTCTCTGGATCTATTCTATTTATCTGAGCTTTATAGACTTACTTCTCAATCAGTTGTTTAACTCTGCCTCCGCCTCCTTTGTTAATTGCCGAGGGCTAGTGAGACTAGGATTTCCTCTAAGGATAGAAAACAGATTACTCATGGCATAGGTAGGAATGCCTAGAGCAGGTCGTATCCAATTAATATTCCCTAGTAATTTCTGAAAGTCATTTAATGTTTTTAGTTGATCCCTATGTATGGTTACTTCATGTGGCACAATGGTAGTGTCATTTACTAAGGCGCTCAAGTAGGAGTAAGGAGTAGTAGTCTGAATTTTGTCAGGAGCTATAATTAAACCAGCATGAGAAATCAAATTTTGCAAGTGATCATAACATTGGAGTAATATTTCTCGAGTGGGGGTAGCACAAATTATATCATCCATATAGCGAATAATGTAACACTGTGAAAATTTTTTACAAGTAGGTTCAATTGCTTGCCCCACGTATGTCTGGCAAATTGTTGGGCTGTTTGACATGCCCTGCGGCAACACTTTCCAATGATAACACTTAACAGGCTGCAGGTTGTTTACTGCAGGATTGTAAATGCAAACCATTCACAGTCTTGCTCAGCCAAGGGGATAGTAAAGAAACAGTCTTTTAAATCTATGACTATTAAAGGTCAATTTTTTGGAATTATAGCAGGAGAAGGCAATCCTGGCTGTAATGCTCCCATAGGTTGTGTAACTGAATTGATGGCTCTTAAGTCAGTTAACATTTTCCATTTACCTGATTTTTTTCTTAATTACAAAAACTGGAGAATTCCAAGGGGAAAATGTTGGAGCTCTGTGCCCATTTTCTAATTGTTCAGCAACTAATTTCTCTAAAGCCTCCAATTTCTCTTTACCTAGCAGCCATTATTCTATCCAAATTGGCTTATCTGTTAACCATTTTAAAGGTATAGGTTCTGGAGGCTTAACAATGGCCACCATCAAAAATTATTTCCTAATCTTTGGCGGGAACTTTGTTTTTCTGCTTGAAGCGGTTCTTTCAAACCTTGCAAATTTTTTTCTAGTCCCATAGCAGGGACATACCTCATTTCATGCATTGTATTTTGACTTTAAGGGCTATATGATTGTTCTGGAATTAGAACTTGTGCTCCCCATTGTTGTAATAAATCTCTTCCCCATAAATTTATAGGTACAGAAGTTATAATTGGTTGAATAGTTCCAGGTTGTCTGTTGGGCCCTTCACAATGCAAAATATAACCACTTTGATATACTTAGCAGCTTTACCAACTCCAACTATGTTAAATTGAGTGGGCTGAATTGGCCACATGGACGGCCTGTGCTGTAGAGAAATGATTGAAATGTCCACTCCTGTATCTACCAAACCTTTAAATTTCTTACCTTGAATAGTTATTTCCCAGGTAGGACATTTATCAGTAATTTGATTTACCCAATAAGCTGCTTTGCCTTGTTTATTTGTGCTTCCAAATCTTCCTGTTCATTTAATTTCACTTCTTCCCATTCCCACATACAGCACAATCAGGAGCTGTGCTATGCACTCTCCTGGCTCTGCTTTCCAGGGAACAGAAGTAGATACAACAATTTGAATTTCCCCATTGCAATCTGAATCAATGACTCCTGTATGTATTTGTACACCTTTTAAACTTAAACTAGACCTTCCTAAAAGTAATCCTATAGTCCCTGCTGGCAAGGGTCCATAGACTCCTGTTGGGACCTTTTGCAGGGGTTCCCCAGGCAGAAGGCTCACAGCTTTTGTGCAGCATAAATCTATTGTGGCACTACTGGCTGTGGCAGGGGACAGACATTTTATGGGGTGAGGGAATGGCCTGAGATGGAAATGCCCTGGTTTAGAATGGGGCCTGGGATGGGCCCCTCATGGCGTTTCCTGAATTGGGTTCCTTCTTTATCAAACTTAGAGTGATACTGACTAGCTCAATGTTTTCCTTTTTTACATTTTGGACATATCTCAGGCTCAACAGTTTTCTTTTTTCACCTATCTGGCGGCCTGACTTGCTGATTTTTTCTACATTCTTTTTTAGTATGACCATGCTTCCCACAGTTAAAACAAGCTCCAGGAAATGGAGTATTTCCTTTATCCACTCTCAGTCCTGCCATTGCCTGTGCCAACAAAGTAGCTTTATGCAGATTACCTCCGATACCATCACAGGCCTTGATATAATCAACTAAATGTGCTTTCCCTCTAATAGGTCACAGAGCAGCCTGGCAATTGGGATTAGCATTGTCAAAAGCTAATAACTGCAACACTATATCCTGAGCAGCCAAATCTGCAATCATCTTTTCAAGAGACTCCTGTAACCAAGCTATAAAATCAACATGTGGTTCCCTAGGTCCCTGTTTTATAGCACTAAAGGAAGGGTATTGTTCCCCACCTGAAGTGATTTTTTCCCAAGCTCTAATGCACACTCCTCTAAGCTGTTCTATGGCATCATCCTGCATGATGAGTTGTGCACCTAGCCCAGCCACCAACCCCCAAAAGTTGGTCTGCAGTTATATTAATTTGAGGTTGGTCCTGGGCATTGCAAGCAGCCTGAATGGAAGCTTCATCTGCCCACCAAGCTTTAAATTGTAAGAACTGAGCAGGAGTTAGACAAGCTTGAGTAAGAGCATCCCAGTCAGTAGGAATCATCCGACTGGAAACAGTAACATTCTTTAACAGTCCCATTACAAAAGGAGAACCTGGTCCATACTCATTTATAGCTTGTTTTAATTCTTTGAGTAATTTAAAAGAAAAAGGCTCAAATGCAGCTGTAATATTTCCCTCTTAATCTGGGGGGGTGTATTCTAACAGGGAACTGTGAAGCCTCTAAGTCACCCTCTTGTCTAGCTTGCTGAATTCCTGCCTGAATAGAACTAAGAGCTGTTGCTCGAGGCACTGCTGAAACAGTCACTGGGGCAACTACTTTTTGCCCAGTGTCCTCCAGAAAAGAAAGATCTCAGGGGTCATTTTCTTCAAAATAATAATGAGGGGGTGCAGAAGGGTAGGGATGAACCTCTCCTTCCTTTGCCACTTTAGCTTTAGCTGGCAAATAAACATGCTCTGTAACCTCTTCTGTTACTTTGCTATACTCTTGTTCTTTCTCCTCATCACTGTGAAAAAGTTCCAAGGTGGAACAAACCAGACCCCAAACCTGTCCCATTGTTACCCTGATACTTCTGAGCTCCCCTTCTTACTCACCATGGGGATTGCTTTAAGAGTACTTGGGTGTCTTCCGTTCCAACCATCACTCCAGCGACCCTTCGACCTGGATTTGAGCCCCATGTTAGGCGCCACTTGCTGAGACCAGCTTAGTCAGGGAGACCCTAACCCAGTGGCGCTAGAGGAATTAAAGACACTCACAAAGAAATATAGATGTGTGAAGTGGGAAATCAGGGGTCTCACAGCCTTCATAGCTGAGAGCCCTAAACAGAGATTTACCCACATATTTATTAACAGCAAACCAGTCATTAGCATTGTTTCTATAGCTTTAAGTTAACTAAAAGTATCCCGTATGGGAAATGAAGGGATGGGCTGAATTAATTGCAGCAGGAACATGCCCTTAAGACACAGATTGCTCATGCTTTTGTTTGTGGCTTAAAAATGCCTTTAAGCAGTTTTCCACCCTGGGCAAGCCAGGTGTTCCTTGCCCTCATTCCCATAAACCCACAACCTTCCAGCTTGTGCATTAGGGTCATTATGGACATGTTACAGTGCTGCAGAAATTTTACTTATGGCCAGTTTTGAGGCCAGTTTATGGCCAGATTTTGGGGGCTTACTCCCAATAGCCAGGTACCTTTTCACAATCCCTTTTTAGTAGGCACTCTCTTCATTTTTAACTTTATATAAGACAATGTTTATGAATAAAGTTTATTTTATCTCATTAGATGTCTATCATTACAGTCTATAATTTAGTAAAAGTTGGATTAAGTGTTAAAGGCTGAGCTCTGGGGCCTTCTAATGTTAGGGGTCAGGGAGATGAACAGGAACCAGCAAACACTAAGAAGAAGTCGGTGAGGTTATACTGGAGGAAATGAAGAAAGTGTGGCAGCCTGGAAGTCAAGATAGAATACTAGTAGTGAAAATAGACAAGTGCTACTGATAGATAAAGCAAGATGAGGATTGCAAAGCAATCCCTGGACTTAGCAAATGTGGAGAGTAATTGCTGAAGCAATGTGAAGAGCAATTGCTGATTTTAATAAAAAGCAGTTTGGGTGCAGGGTGGGAGTGAAAGTCCAATTGAAATGAGTTTAAGAGAGAAGGGGAAGAAAGGAATTGGAAAGAGCATTGGCAACATTCAGAGTAGTGTAGCTATAACAGGAGGAAAGAAAGAGAGTGAGCCCAAGTAAAAGCTCACTCTCTCTCTCTACCCACTCTCCCTCCTCTTCCTCTGCCTCTCCAAACAAATCTGCCTGGTGGAAACTTTTAGGTTGGGATGTTGGTATGAAATAGAAATTTGCATGCTCATAAAAAGCATTTATCAGTTTAGTTACTGTCCCTGATTCTAATCGAGTGATACTTTGGTTACCCATTTTCTCAGTTCCCAGTGCTGAAGCAAGAATTAAACCTTTCTGGAGCCATAGCTCTAACACTCACAAGTTCCCACCTGAAACCTGCAGTCCTTCTTAAATGCTCTGTGCCAAGGGTAGTATTTCTGCTAGAGATGATACCCCAAACTCAAGGACACAGTATGCAGCTGCTGCCTGGATCTGGTCAATCAGAAACTGCATTTACTTGGAACAGACAACACTATACATGTATAGTGTTATCTCAAAGATATATTAACACTCCTACCCCCTCCCATAATATATTCCAAAGATTCCTGGGCCATGTGAACATATCAAGGAATATCACAGTGGCACACTATACTGACAATATTGTACTAACTGAGCTGGATAAGCAAGAAGTAGCTGGTACATTGGGAGAATTGGTAAGACACCTGAGTTCCAAAGAGAGGAGATAAACCCTATAAAATTTCAGAGGCCCAAACAGATTGAAATTTTTGTGTCCGGTGGTCTGGGACATGCTGGGACATTTCCTGTAAAGGACAAATAATTGTGTCTTGCATCTCCCACCATGAAGATGAAAGCATAACCCTTGTTAATATCCACCAAGGAGCATCCACCATGGAAGAATTTCTATACAAATAGGTGGACAAAATGACTTGGCCAGTTGACATTGGCCAGTTTCTGTCATTAGCCATGCCATTGTTAGCACAAGAGAACCCAAACAGAATAGCTGTGGTGGCAAGGATGGAGGCTATATCTGGCTTAATAGCATGGGTTCTGACTTAACAAAACTAATCGAGTTACCGCTGTTACCAAATGTCCAACCTGACAATAACCCTAAGTCCCTGAGATCACATATCACTGGAAGAGACCAATCAGCAACTTGGTGACAATTTGACCACATCATATGCCTACCAGGTATAGGTTTGTCTGCAGGGCCTTAGTCAACACTACTATCCAAGGGCTTAGAGTATTTAATTCACCACCAGCATGATACCAGATAACATCATGCCAGACCAATGGACTCATTTATAACAAGAAGTGCAGGGCAGGACACATGATCAAGAGTTCCACAGGTCATATCATAAACCAGACCATCCAGAAGCTGCCCACCTGATGGAGAAATGCAATGCCTATACAAGGTGCAACTAAAGTGCCAGTGCAAAGACAATTTTCCTGCTGCAAACAAGAAATATAAAAAGATTCCCAAGCTTTTTTTAAAAAGACACTGATATGGCTTGGATTTGTGGCCCTCCCAAACTCATGTCAAATTGTAATCCCCAGTGCTGGAGGAGGGGCCTGGTGGGGAGGTGATTCAATCATGGTAATGTATTTCCCCCTTGCTGCTTTCATGATAGTGAGTGAGTTCTCACAAGATCTGGTTGTTTAAAGGTGTGTAGCACCTCCCCCTTCACTCTTTCTTTCTCCTGCTCCCACCATGTAAGACATGCTTGCTTCCCCTTCGCCTTCTGCCATGATTGTAAGTTTCCTGATGCCTCCCAGCCATATTTCCTGTACTGCCTGCAGAACTTCTTTTCTTTATAAGTAACCAGTTTCAGATATGTATTTATAGTAGTGTGAGAACAGACTAATATAGACACATTACAATTGGAGAGTAATAAGAATGAAGGCTGATGTATCAGAAGGAAATAGGGAGAACAGTAGACAAAAATTCATGTTCAAAATGCTGACTTAAAAAATAACAATCTAGGCTTCAATATCCAGTGAAAATTACAATTTCTAGTGAATATAAACCGAATAAAAAAGAATAATCATATGACCACCTCAGTAGATGCCTTTTCCCAAAGGCATCATAAGATACCCAGTCATTTTTGGAGAAGGTGTTCCTAGCTATCAATGTCCTGTTTCCATACATTTTCTCCAAGAAAGCACAGCCTTGTTAAGAAACTGCAGTTTCCCAGATCACATATTTCTATGGAACTAAATTTTAAGTATGTGATATTTGTTACTGACATTTTACTATCTTAAAGGCATTTCTGTGCAAGAAAATTTTAATTTTATTTTGTTCTAATAAGTATTATATTGATGAAACATATGTAAAACTTTTTAAAGTATCTCAACCTATAAATCCTATTTTTTCAAGTATTAAAATCATTACTTTTTTTACTTTTTCTTTGATTAATGTACAATTAATCCAAGTTTACAAATGATGTCTTCCCTACTCATCTGATGCAATTTAATGTCAATATCCTCAGATATTTTAAGTATAGTTACATATTTAATATATCTGATTCTCTCAAATGTTTCAAATTTCTAACAAAGCAGACTTACTAATTAGAATAAACTCTCCCAATGACTTAAATCACACTCATAAATACAAACTGAAACTTAGATATTTAGTAGCTCAAATCCCCTTAAGCATCTTAAGTCACAGCACCCATAAAGCAGCATAGTGACTGGAAAATGTTTCACCACATCCCTATAAACACAACATGCACACTTTATACCTATTTTTTTCCACATGTTCCTGGGGTTACAAGTTTACTCAACCAAACAAGGAAAGCAAAATCATCACCTAAGTTCCAGCCAAGGTTACATTGTCAGAAACCAGGACTGGCAGTCAAAGAAGGAAGAATGCAGCAGAGGGCACCGGGGGAAGGAAGAAAGTCCATGAGAGGCACAAAAGAGAGAGATGCAATTCCTTTATTGCATGTAGAGATTATTAAACAAAGCTCTTGAAAAGAGATGCACTGCAGGAATGTAGGCATCACTTTAATTGTAAAACTGATTTTATGGTCACAAAAGCACCTACATGGAAATGAAAAAAAAATACCTTTTCAACACCCTCACCATCTAAAAGGTAAAGTACAGTATCTACAACCACTGCATGAGCATTCAGACAGCACGTAGGCCTGAGATTCCATCAGTAGTAAAATCAGCATCTCTGATGCCCAAATTCACTCTTGTTCCATTATGACTGGGGGCATATAAAATGCCATTAATACGGAACTAAAAATTAAAATTACAAATAAGCATTATATGGGTTTTAGGCTAGTTGAGATGCTAGTGACCTGGAACTGACCCAGAGACCAAAATGTAATTATAGGGCTGGATTTAGCAGCAGCAGCCTTTTCCATTTATTAACCCCTAATACTCATATGGAGCTGTCATGCCATCCCCCATCTCCAACACCCACGTGCTAATTTAGGATAATGGATTGTGGCAGAGACCTTGTTCTCTGCTAAACTGCTGTGGTTAATGGAGAGTCCAGGCCTCTAAAATAGCTTTGCCATCATACCATATCATTATAATTTCTTATTAGATAGAAACAGTTCGTTTAAACAGGACAGTCTTAGGCTTTGCCTAAAAGTTTAGTTACTAGAACACAAGAAAGTTAATGTAGGTCTTTCTCAATCCAGCTTTTCCTAGTGGCTGTTAGCCAGAAAAATATAGGCTGCACAAACATTTTAACTCTTTCTCTCTCTTTCCTTTATCTATCTGATGTGCCGACTCAGTCTTGCCTAAAGATAATAACTGCTTATCTTAGATCTGACTCATGGATGGGTCAGAATAAACTTCTAGTTTTAAGAGATACTCACAGAGAGCTGAATGGTGGCATTGCCAATTTTTTTACCTTGTTATTGTTCTTCTAATATTTAAACATGATGTCATGAGCTGCCTTCCCTGCAGATGGCACTGTTTAATGGGTTTAGAGGAAGGAAGCCACAGGGCCCTTTGGAAGGAAAAAAAAAGTCTGGGGTGAATTTTTATTCACTCATCTAACAAATATTTGAGCATCTCCTCCCATTTTTCATTGAATCTAAGCTTTAACTATACCACTATTTTTCATACGAAGATTAAGGAAACTTTATATCTTTAGGATTAAAGAAACTACCAATGAATCAGGCACATTTTACTACTTAGTCTTTGAATTTTATAAAAATTGAAAGAGCTCTTATGGACATCTTTAATCATATCACTCTTGTGCTGTATACAAAAGCAAGTGTAACAAAAAGCAAGTATAAACAAAATTAATTGGTTGAAGTAACCCTAAAATATTTTTACAGTGAGTCTCACTCTTCTAAATCACTTCTTGGATCGCAGTCATCAATGTTCCTGTTTCCCCACAAATATATCTCTCTTTGAGCCATCACCACCATTGGTGATGCAATATCTCTTAAAAGAATGCTTCATTCTTCTCTCCAGATTGTATGCCAATTGGTGGTACTTATTTCTCAAATTTTTATGCCAGCACTCTCTGACCTTACCAAGAGGCGCCAACAGAAAGTTTCAGACCAAGTTCTCCATGTGCAAATGATGACAGCTACAGCATTCCTGTCCACTGACCAATCATTATATATAGCTGATTATAAACTTTCTAGAATTCTGATTTTTTTACTGTGTAAAAAACTGTCCATGTCAGAGTAAATGAAATATATCATGTGCCAGTTCTCTTCTATGCACTGGAAACCTCATGTAGGTGACATTATAAGGAAAGAATACAGAAAATAAAAAATAAGCAAATTATATATCACATTAGATGGTGATAAATACTGTGAAAGAATAAGGCAGGTAAAAAGTTTAATGTAGGACAGAGGATAGGATTTTAAGTAATTTTTTGAGTCAGGGAAGGCCTCATTTAAGCAGAGTTCTTTAGTTGTCAAAGGAACTGATCATAGAGGAAAAGGTGTGACATGGGTTGGCTGTGTCCCCACCCAAATCTTATCTTGTACTGTAATTCCCACATGTTGTGGGAGGAACCTGGTGAGAGGTAAGTGAATCATGGGGGCAGGTCTTTCCTGTGCTGTTCTTGTGATAGTGAATAAGTCTCACGCGATTTGATGGTTTTAAAAATGGGAGTTTCCCCACACAAGATCTCTTCTCTTGCCTGCCACCATGTGAGACCTGCCTTTCACCTTCCACAATGATTGTGAGGCCTCCCCAGCCATGTGGAACTGTAAGTCTATTAAACCTCTTTCTTTTGTACATTGCCCAGTCTTGGGGCATGTCTTTATCAGCAGCATGAAATGGGCTTATACAGTTAATTGGTACCAGTAGAGTGGGGCACTGCTGAAAAGATACCTGAAAATGTGGAAGCAACTTTGGAACTGGGCAACAGGCAGAGGTTGGAACAGTTTGGAGGGCTCAGAAGACAGGAAAATGTGGGAACGTTTGGAACTCCCTAGAGTCTTGCTGAATGGCTTTGACCAAAATACTGATAATGATATGGACAAGGAATTCCAGGCTGAGGTGATCTCAGATGGAGATGAGGAACTTGTTGAGAACTGGAGCAAAGGTGACTCTGGAGCAAAGGTGACTCTTAACATTTTAGCAAAGAGACTGGCAGCATTTTGCCCCTGCTCTAGAGATTCGTGGAACTTTGAACTTGAAAGAGATGATTTAGGGTATCTGGCAGAAGAAATTTCTAGCAGCAAAACATTCAAGAGATGACTTGCATACTGTTAAAGGCATTCAGTTTTATAACAGAAGCACAGCATAAAAGTTTGGAAAATTTGCAGCCTTACAATGTGATAGAAAAGAAAATCCCATTTTCTGAGGAGAAATTCAAGCCGGCTGCAGAAATATGTATAATTAATGAGGAGCCAAGTGTTAATCCCCAAGACAATGTGGAAAATGTCTCTAGGGCATATCAGAGGTTTTCACCACAGCCCCTGCCATAACAGGCCCAGTGGCCTAGGAGGAAAAAGTGGTTTTGTGGGCTGGGGGCCCAGGGTTCCCATGCTCTGTGCAGTTTAGGGACTTGGTGCCCTGCATCCCAGCCACTCCAGCCATGGCTGAATGCAGAGTTTTGGCATGGCTTCAGAGGATGCAAGCCCCAAGCCTTGGCAGCTTCCATGTGGTGTTGAGCCTGTGAGTGCACAGAAGTCAAGGACTGGGATTTGGAAACTTCCACCTACATTTCAGAAGATGTGTGGAAACATCTAGTTACCCAGGCAAAAGTTTGCTGCAGAAGCAGGGTCTTCATAGAGAACATCTGCTAGGGCAGTGCAGAAGGGAAATGTGGGGTCAGAGCCCCCACACAGAGTCCCTACTGGGGCAACACCTAGTGGAGCTGTGAGAAGAAGGCCACCATCCTACAGATCCCAGAATGTTAGATCCACCAACAGCTTGCACTGTGTACCTGGAAAAGCCACAGATACTCAACGCCAGCCCATGAAAGCAGCCAGGAGGGAGGCTGTACCCTGCAAAGCCACAGAGGCAGAGCTGCCCAATACTGTGGGAGCCCACCTCTTGCATCAATGTGACCTGGATTTGAGACATAGAGTCAAAGGAGATCATTTTGGAGCTTTAAGATTTGACTGCCCTGTTGGATTTGGGACTTGCGTGGGGCCTATATCTCCTTTGTCTTGGCCAATTTCTCCCATTTGGAATGACTGTATTTACCCAATGCCTGTACCCCCATTGTATCTAGGAAGTAACTAACTTGCTTTAGATTTTACAGGATCATAGGCAGAAGGGGCTTGCCTTGTCTCAAATGAGACTTTGGACTGTGGACTTTTGAGTTAATACTGAAATGAGATAAGACTTTGGAGGACTGTAGGGAAGGCATGATTGGTTTTGAAATGTGAGGACATGAGATTTGGGAGGGCCCAGGGGTGGAATGATATGGTTTGGCTGTGTCCCCACCCAAATCTCATCTTGAATTGTAACTCCCAGAATTTCCAAGTGTCATGGAAGGAACCTGGTGGGAGGTAAGTGAATCATGGGAGAGGGTCTTTCTCATGCTGTTCTCATTATAGTAAATAAGACTCATGAGATCTGATGGTTTTAGAAACGGGAGTTTCCTGCACAAACTCTTGTCTGCTGCCATGTTAGATGTGCCTTGGCCGAGCGCGGTGGCTCAAGCCTGTAATCCCAGCACTTTGGGAAGCCGAGGCGGGTGGATCACAAGGTCAGGAGATCGAGACCATCCTGGCTAACACGGTGAAACCCCATCTCTACTAAAAAATACAAAAAAACTTAGCCGGGTGTGGTGGCGGGCGCCTGTAGTCCCAGCTACTCAGGAGGCTGAAGCAGGAGAATGGCGTGAACCCGGGAGGCGGAGCTTGCAGTGAGCCGAGATCGCGCCACTGCACTCCAGCCTGGGGGACAGAGCGAGACTCCATCTCAAAAAAAAAAAAAAAAAACGATGTGCCTTTCACATTCTGACATGATTGTGAGGCCTCCCCACACACGTGGAACTGTAAGTCTATTAAACCTCTTTCTTTTGTAAATTGCCCAGTCTCAGGTATGTATTTATCAGCAGCATGAAAACAGACTAATACAGAGGGCCAAGGAGAATTCCAGGCAGAAGGAACATCAGATGCAAAGGTTCTAAGGCAGGAGCATGCATTCAATGAATGGCAAGGACATCAGGTAATTAAAGTTGAGTTAGGAGGATGGAGCAGCAAGGTAGATAAGGGATGGCACTTTCTAGCCCTCTTCCCTGGGAGACAATACAGAGTGCTAGGGCTTTGTGGGCCATAATAAAGACCATATGACTTTTACTGTGACCTGGATAGATATAGAATGAGGGGTCTTCTGCAGAGGATGCCATGATCTAACTTGGTATTATAGATTGAATTGTGTCTCCCAAAAAGATATATTGAAGTCCTAACCCCTAGTACTTTAGAATATGACCTTGTTTGGAAATAGGGTCATTGCCTATGTGATTAGTTAAGATGAGGTCATGCAGGAGTAGGGTGGGCACTTAATCCAATGTAACTGATGCCCTTATAAGAAGAAGGAGCACAGCCTCATGAAGACGCAGACACACAAAGGAAAGCACTATGTGATAAGTGGCAGAGATTGCAGTGATATGGCTGCAGGGTAAGGAAGCCAAGGATTGGAGGAACAATTGGAAATTAGGAAGAAGGAAGAAAGGACTCTGCTAAGATTCTCAGGGGAATCATGGCCCTGCTGACACCTTTATTTTGGACTTCTAGCCTTCAGAACTGTGAAAGAATAAGCCCCCCAGTTTTTTTAAGCACCCTGTGTTGTTTTAAGCCCCCCAATTTGTGGTGCTTTGTTACAGCAGATTTGGAAAATAAATACACTGGGTATTAACAGAATGGCTCTGGCTGCTGTCTTGAGAATATTTAATAGATTCTCAAGGACCAAGGAAAAAATACCAGTTAGGCAACAGCTGCAATTATCTGAGAAATACAGCAGCCTGTCACAAGTTAGTAGTGGTAGAAGCCACAGAACTTTCTGCCAGACTGAATATGGTGTAGAGATGAAAACAGCTGCCGTGTACTGAGATACAGGAGGGGAGCCAGGAGGGGATCCAGGAGGGGAGCAGGCTGGGGCTGGGGACAAAATTATAAATTCAGTCAGTTCTGAACTTTTTTTTTTGAGACAGAGTCTTGCTCTGACGCCAGGCTAAAGTGCAGTGGCGTGATCTCGGTTCACTGCAACCTCCGCCTCCTGGGTTCAAGCGATTCTGCTGCCTCAGCCTCCTGAGTAGCTGGGACTACAGGTGTGTGCCACCACATCCAGTTAATTTTTGCATTTTTAGTAGAGACAGGGTTTCACCATGTTGGCCAGGATTGTCTCGATCTTTTGACCTTGAGTGATCTGCCCGCCGTGGCCTCCCAAAGGCTGGGATTACAGGCGTGAGCCACCACGCCTGGCCTCAGCTCTCAAATTCTTAAGATGCCTGCTACTTCTCAGTGGAGATGCCAATTAGGCAATTCTTTTAGAGTTTATCCTGTTATTTCTCCTGGTTCTACAACCTGAGTTTGTTTGTTTGTTTTCTCCTTTTTATGGCCTGTAAGTATTCTCTGCCACCACTCAAACTAGATGCTCCACTGACCACACTTTGAGGAACACTAGCAATAGGATCACAAAATCACAATTAGTGGGCCAGACACTAGGCAAATGTGTCATTGTTATTGACAAGGTGCACCATTGTCAAAAGCTAAAGGTGCCTGGCAAGGTGGCTCATGCTTGTAATCCCAGCATTTTAGGAGGCCGAGGTGGATGGATCACCTGAGGCAGGAGTTCAAGACCAGCCTGGCCAACATGGTGAAACCCAGTCTCTAATAAAAGTACAAAAAAATTAGCCAGGTGTGGTGACAGGCACCTGTAATCCCAGCCACTCAGGAGGCTGAGATGGAAGAATCACTTGAACCCAGGAGGCGGAGGTTGCAGTGAGCCCAGATCGCACCACTGCACTCTAGCCTGGGCACGACAGAGCAAGACTCTACCACAGAAAAAGAAAAAAAAAAGTAGGTTAAAGGAGAATGGCCTGTCTTTACGCCACTGCCACCTCCAGCCCTCTCTGCACTGCCTACTAAGCAAGTCTCATCTCATGGCAGCTCCCCTTTCTCTCCATGATCCCACCATACTCTTTATCTTGCACCACCTCACATACATCCCCACCTCAGGGCTCTTGTACCTTCTGTTCCCACTGCCTGGCACTTGCCTCCCATCCACTCCCCTGCACATCAACCAACTCAACTCTCGCTTTTGCTGAAGATCTTAACTCATCATTTCCCAAGGAGAATGGTCCTTCCAGAGTGGGTCAAGCCTCCTGTTGAAGTGTCCACATTTCCCTGTACTCTGATCCTTAGCAGTTTACATATGGATGATTCAATTAATGTCTGTCTCCCCTACTAGACTGCAAACTCCCCTAAGACAGGAGCCACACCTTTTTGAATTCCAAGCACTGAGCATGGTACCTGACATGTCACGAGTACTCAAGTATTTTCTGAATGAGTCTGAGAGTGCAAAAAGGAAGTAATTAATGAATCCTCCAATTAGTCCATGGCAGTCTCCTAAAAAAATAATTTTCCAGGTTCAAAGGAAGGGTTGAAAACATGCTGATGGCACCTGAGTTCTCTCTTTAGCCAGAGTTTCTTTAGCTACCTGAGAGAGATCACTCACACCTCACCAAATCACAAAATATTGTGACGGCCTTAGAGGAACAGTCAGACATTTGGTGTCAAAGGGAGGAAGATTTAAAGTAGAAGTTTGATCAGAGCACTAAAATGGAAAACCAAGGAAAGGAGATGGGCTAAGAACATAGTTCAAAAGAATTCAGGAAGGTGTTAAAAAGGAGGATGAGGCATAAACCAAATAGAGTGATGAACTTGAAAAAAACACCGTTTTCCAAAGACATTAACCAGTTAACTGGTCAGACTGAGACCCTCTGGTCTTGGATATTAGCAACAAATGATCCTGTCAATAACACCAGACTAGAAACCCCATCCCTTGGCAGTCATGCAATCAAACCACCATAAACCCAAGTTTCTCATCTACCTGACAATAGCCCAGAAGTAGTAAAAACCAAGGAAAGAAAAAGAATCCACCCTTTTAACCACATAGAGGTCTTCATCTTGCTAAGGCTCGCAGCAAAGACTGTTCAGGAAACAGAAGGAGGTTAAGGTTTGGGATGCCTCACATGATTTTATGCCTGTCACATTGTTCAAGTATAAGAAATTACCTCCTACAGCAAGCACACACCAAAAGAAAACTTTTACAGCACTATCACTTAGCCTCTAGAAAAATAACATTTTATGACAACTTTGGTACTAAAAAGTAAATGTGCATCCCATACAATTAAATAGCTGCTTTCAGTGCCCATGAATCTCAAGCCTTCTTGGGGACTTTGGAAATACCTGAGAGGATGTCATGCACAGGTCAACTGACTCACAGGGCCCTTTGTGGGATCAGTTTAGGGATGCAATAGAGTTTTGTCTTCATTGATGGAGTTCTTTGATAATGCACTTGAAGTCATTATTTCAAATTTAAGGTGAGCCCTCCAGAAAGGTCAGTATGCCAACTCATAGAAATAGAATAGTGGTTACCAGACTTGTGGGGAGGGACACAGGGAAAGGGGAGATATATTAGTCAAGGGGTACAAAATTCAGCTAGGAAGAGTAAGTTCAGGTGTTCCATTTGCACAGCATAGTGACTGTAGTTAATAATAACGTATTCTATATTTCAAAGTTACTAAAATATCAGATTTTAAATGTTCTCACCATTTCTTATCAAAGAAATGATAAGTATGTGATAGATATGTTTATTAGCCTGATTATATCATTCCATAATGTATACAGGTATCAAAACATCACATTGTACCCCACAAATATATATATTTACCAATTAAAAGTAAAATTAAAAAAGACAAAACTGCATGATTTTATTTATATATAGAATCTTAAAAAGTCAAACTCATAGAAGCAAAGTGTAGAGTAATGGTTTCCATGGGGCAACGGTGGGAGGAAAGGGACTGGGGAGATGTTGGTCAAAGGATACAAAATTTCAGTTTGACAAGAGGAATAAGTTCAGGAGATCTATTGTACAACATGGTGACTATAACAATGTCACAATGTACTGCGTACTTGAAAATTGTATACAATTATATAATTATTAATAACAAGGTATTGTATACTTGAAAATTGCTGAGCATTTTACTATATTTTCTTTTTTGACAACTAAATATTGTACATGTTTATCATATACAACATGATGTTTTAAAACATATATGTAGTCTGTGACCACACCACCCCAAACGTGCCTAAAATATGTATTAGTTTGGTGCAAAAGTAATTGCAGTGTTTTGCCATTACTTTCAATGGCAAAGAAAAAAAAACGCAATTACTTATGCATCAACCTAAAATATGGAATGACTACACTGAGCTAATTAACATACCTCATACACATTTCCTTATACACTTATGCTTTGCAGCAAAACACATTTAAAATCTACTCTCAGTGATTTTCAAAATACAATACATTGTTATTAACTGTAGTCACCATGTTGTACAATATATCTCTTGAAATTATTCCTCCTATCTACTTGAAATTTTAGAAAGAAGATTTTAAATTTTATGACTACAATAAAGGTTAGTATGTGGAACTAAGAATATGTTAATTAACTCAATTTAGCCATTCTACAATGTATACATATATCAAAACATCACTTTGTATACCACAAATATATACAATTTTTGTCCATTAAAAATAAATAGGAGGCAGGACTAGATTGCAGCTCTGGACAGAGCAGCGTGCGGAGGCTCACATTGTGAATTTAAGCTCCAGATCAACAGCAAGAACAAACCGGCAATCTTGAGAGGACCCACAGACCCTCTGAAAGAAGCAACTGCTCCTGCAGGACCCAGGAGACACTCCAAATACTGCACTGGTATCCACAGCTGAGAGCCCATAGATGGTTCACCTCACAGGACTCTGTGCAGACAACCCCCAGTACCAGCCCGGATCTGGGTAGATTTGCTGGGTGGCTAGACCCAGGAGAGACAAGAATCAATCACAGCAGTTCAGCTCACAGGAAGCCACATTCATAGGAAAAAGGGGAGAGTACTACATCAAGGGAACACCCGGTGGGGCAACAGAATCTGAACAACAGCCTTCAGCCCTAGACCTTCCCTCTGGCACAACCTACCCAAATGAGAAGGAACCACAACCCTGGTAATATGACAAAATAAGGCTCTTTAACACCCCCCAAAAATCGTACCATTTTACTAGCAATGGATTCAAACCAAGAAGAAATCCCTGATTCACTTGAAAAAGAATTC